>NC_000003.12:165220725-165372240 GCF_000001405.40 Homo sapiens
GAGCTTTAGTGACAAGAGAAATCTTCCTAAGGAAGCCACAGGTTTTCAATATTTTCTAAGAAGAAGGAGAGTTGAAGTTGCATCATATTTTTCCATCACCAACACCCTACCCTGATTGAAAAATCTCTTAAGAGATAACAGATGTGGGTGGATAGGCCAGAAACAGCTGTCAGATGGGGAAACATATTTGTCTGTTTTTCTCAACAGCATTGTTATAAAGATCGAGTGAGATGGATAAATGTGAAAATTGGTGGATAAAGTGGTTAACAGTACTATTCAAGGGTATCGATGAAAAGGAGTTTAAGTTATAATTACTATTTTGAAAGAGTATTGTGTTTTATTAATATATAATAGAATGTTTGACTGGCCAGGCACGGTGGCCCAACACCTGTAATCCTAGCACTTTGGGAGGCCAAGGCAGGCGGATCACCTGAGGTCAGGAGTTCGAGACCAGCCTGGCCAAGATGGTGAAACCCCCACCTCTACTAAAAATACAAAAATTAGCCGGGCGTGGTGGTAGGCCCCTGTAATCCTAGCTGCAGGCTAGGCTTCCCTCTAGGGGGACTGAGGCAGGAGAATCACTTGAACCCAGGAGGTGGAGGTTGCAGTGAGCCTAGGTCGCGCCATTGCACTCCAGCCTGGGCGACAAGAGCAAGACTCCATCTCAAAAAAAAAAAAAAAAAAAAAAAAGAATGTTTGACTACTTTTCTGCAAAAGTCCCTTGAAGCCAAATACCATGTCTTTTTAAACTACGTAGCTCCCAATGCCTAACACAGAACCTCATGCCTATGAGTAAATATCTTTGCAATAAGTAGAGAATGAATTACATTGCTGGCAATATTTTCAAAATAATAGTGACTTTTTATTAACATAAGAGAAATGGAATAATAAATAGTGTCATAATAAATTAGCAAGTACTAATGCTGTTATCGTGCCAAATTGATATAACAGATGATCCATCTATATTATTAGTGACTAATAACAGCATTTGAATTCCTCCTGTTTCTGTTTCCTAATTTTAGGCACTCAGATTTTATGCTTGGCCCTATTGTCTCTATACTTTTATAATTTTGATTGTATTCGTGCATCTGGTCTCTAATATCTTCTCTGTGCTCATTACTTAAATAAGTCGACTATTTCCAGTCCTTCATGTCTGACTGCTGAACATATTTTCTTGCTGTCTTCATATCTACTCAAATTTAGCCTATATAAAACCTAACCTATATTCCATTGCCCTTCCCTGATCACCCAAGTTCTGAAATACACATACAACACTGCTACTTTTTGAGGTTTCTTTTTTGTTAAGGGCATCTGTCTTTCCCAGTCACTCATACTAGAGCCCTTGTTCTTCCCGGTCCACTTTCCCCATCATTTATATTCATCAATAATAAAAAGTTTTTAAATCTTAATGCTTCCATCTCCAGTGATATCTCTAGAGCCTATATTTGTTATTTAATTCTGAGACCCCATAGTTCAGGCTTTCATAATCATTCATTTAACCGTCACAATTCTCTCTTGTAGCTATCAGATCAGGATAACTCTTGTGTTCGTTTGCCTCAGTTCAAAATCCTTTAATGACTACCACTTTATCTACTAACTTTAGTTATATTATTAAGGTCCTATGAACATCATTTGAAAATATTAACTTTTCAAAATATTCTAAGCGTCAACCTTATATAGTGTGATTTCACAACTTCGGGGTTCTACCTAAAACAGGTGTTTGACTTTCTTTTCCATGTAATATTCTTTGTGTATTAAACCCACTGAAAGAAGGGAGCAGATGTTCACAAAGAGGGAATTTGGATTAGAATCTCAAACTCTTGGACACAACTAGTGTCCTCATGCTAGAATGGGAGACGTACACCCACCAGTGTAGAATGAAAAACTAACTTTACTTCAACACCCAGGAAATGTGAGATAATCCTGTGAATGGTGTGCAATGGCTACAAGTCTTGGCTCAGTGATCTGTGGTCCTATTCAGGAAATTTCTAAGGAGAGCCAGTTGTATCTACCTTACCATTTATTTCACTCTTCTGATTTTACTTCTCTCTCCTGATTTTCATCAAAAATAAATGTGGGCCAGGCGCGGTGCCTCATGCCTATAATTCCAGCACTTTGGGAGGCCAAGGGAGGTGGATCACTTGAGGCCAGGAGTTCAAGACCAGCCTGGCAAACATGGTAAAACACCGTCTCTACCAATAATATAAAAAAATTAGCTGGATGTGGTGGTATGTGCTTGTAATCTCAGCTACTCAGGAGGCTGAGGCAAGAGAATCACTTGAACCCGGGAGGCGGAGGTTGCAATGAGCCAAGATCATGCCACTTCACTCCAGCCTGGGCAACAGAGCAAGATTCTGTCTCGAAAAATAAGAAAATATAATAAATAATAAACCAAATAAATAAATGTGGAATCAAGTGAGATGAGGTTAGAAATATTTCTGGAATAAGGAAGTCTTGAATACTATGTAGAAAGACAGAAAGGATGCTCTTTCTCAGAGAAGTGTAGTAAGAACCACTATCCAGAGACAGCAGTGCATTGGGTGGTTCCTTAGCAAGAAATAATGAATTAGTGGCAAGTAGATTAACAAAGGAGGACTTAAGCTGGTATAAATTTGATGAAAAGGAATGCAAAGTTATGAAGACAGCTATAAAGTATCAGGATAGCAGAACAGTAATTTTGTAATTGATCCAAAGACATTAATTTCATGTTGCTGGTCACATGTCACATTTAAAAGGGAAAAAAGAAGTTTCTTAATATGAAAGATGTTTTTCCATTATTAAGTATGACTCCAAAGAAATACTGACTAAAGAAACAAAAAGTTGTGCATTTTTTTTGTTTTTAATGATGCCTGCAGACTTTAAAATAGAATTTAGGGATTAATATTTCAATGCAAATGCCTATCTTTAAAAGCCCAAAGTGCTAATACTATTAAATCATTTATCTATACATTTCTAATTTTTTAAAAGTAAGCTAAATCACACATTAAATATAAAAGCATATTTTCTTCTTCAGAAACAATAAGTGAAAAATTACCAAATATTTAAAGAATAATTTTGGAGATGAAAAAGAGATAATGCTAAGCATTAGTTTACATTAAATCATTTAAATGAAAAGATATTTATAATGTTTATCTGAAGCAGATATTAATGCAGTAGGTGATTTTGAGTATTCCATTTAAAAGTTGTCTTTGCCGCCAGGCACGGTGGCTCACACCTGTAATCCCAGCACTTTGGGAGGTTGAGGCAGGCGGATCAGTTGAGGTCAGGAGTTTGAGACTAGCCTGGCAAACGTGGGAAAACCCCGTCACTACTAAAAATACAAAAATTAGCTGGGTGTGGTGGCACACCTGTAGTCCCAGCTACTTGGGAGGCTGAGGCGGGAGAATTGCTTGAACCTGCGAGGCAGAGGTTGTGGTGAGCTGAGATCACACCACTGCACTCCAGCCTGGGCAGCAGAGCAAAACTCTGCTAAAAAAAAAAAAAAAAAAAAAAAAAAAAAAAAAAAAAAAAATCTTTGGGACTATTCTAGTTTGTGCTTCATTTAGTGGAAAAATCAGATTCTGAGAATCAGAGATTTTGCCTCTACTATATTCTTGCTATGCTGTCTTGATCTCGTCTTTCTAGAGTTGCTCAGAGACTTGAAGTGCTCACCAATATCTGGTATGAAGTTATGATTGTCTTTTTTCTACCCCATTCCTTTAATTCTCATTTTACTTCTCCACTCCCCAAGAATGAATCTCTTCAAAAATGAACTAAGAATGGTTTAGCAACAAGCCTTACAAGGTATAATCTGTACATTTAAAGGCTATGTGGATTTGAATCTACTCCAACTAGTAGTCCACCTTTACTTAGAATATGAGCTGTCATTCTCTCTCACATCATTTCTTCAATCCATGGTTTGAAACAAACAGGAAGCTCCAGCCAGAATGCATAAGGAAACAGTTTTTGTAATCTTGAAACAAAGTTCCCACCCAAGGAATTCTCTCTGTGCTCTGCATGGGATTAAGAGTTGGAGGGAAGTCTCAGTGACTCATTTGCCTTAGTTGTGTTAAAGCACACTTATGAAATTCACAATTCAAGATTAACCTGAAAGAGAGGTGATTTCTTGATCATTCATTATTATTTTTTTCACTTTAAATCCCTGAAATGTTGACAGAAAATGCCAGAAGAGAATAAAACTTTTATAGTGGAGAACACATTAACTACCTTATTAATTGATGAAGCGTTGAACCACAAAGCAGGGGTAGGCTGTATAAAAAGATGTGTTGTATAGATGCCAGAGAGCCTCTTAGTAAGACCACCTGTCTGCCAACACACTGTTGAAAATAATACTAGACAACTTAAACTTCTCTTTTTCTTCCTCCTCCTCTTCCTCATCCTCCTATTTCTTTTCCTCCTCCTCCTCCTCCTGTTCCTCCTTCTTCTCCTCTTTCTTTTCTCCTTCTTCTCCTTTCCTTCCAGTGTTAATTTTGAGTAGGCATGAACAAAACCAGGAATTTTATCATTTATATGATTATATGAAGATATTTCAAGCAGTATAATCTAATTTTGTATATAAAGACATACTCCCACATGGCTTCAGTGAATGACAGTTGTATTCCATTGTAAAATGATTTCTATTTTTTCATGTTAAGTATTTCTCCTGAAGCCCTGTAATCAGTGAACTCCATTCCTTTTTAACGCTTGAGTCTACTGTACTTTAAAAGGTTAAATTAAAAGAAAGACAATTCTGCAATAACATCCCACATCCTTTATTCTACTTGGCATTTCAACTTTAAAAATGAATTACAGCAATGACTTTCTGAGCAACATTGAATGGATATGAAAAATAGGTTTTGAGCATTTCATTTTAAAAATTTGATTTATTTTTATTCTTTTTGAGAGTGTCTTTTGAATGATTTGTTTTACAAAGTTACTACTACTTTAAATGATATGATAGAGCTTTCAAGTATCCTATTTTAACTGGACATCCAGATTTAATAGCTTACACACTGGTTCTCAAGGTGAGGTCCCTGGACCTCATGAGTATCACCTGGGAACCTACTTGAAATGAAAATTTTCAGGCTCCACCCCCAGACATACTGAATCTGAACCGCTTGGGGGAGAAGTCCAGCAGTCTCTTTTAATAAGCCCTCTTGGTGAATCTGATGCAGCTCAAATAGAATGACTAATTTATTGCATTAGACACAGGGAATGGATATAAATTAATATAAAATTGTATAAAGAGGGCTTTGATTAAGAATGACATAATTTTTTCTTCTAAATTTCTGTTGTTTTAATTTGTTTTAGTCAATTTTCTCTCTGCCCATAACTTCCTCTTGTTTCTCACATTACCAATAGTATCCTGAGTTAGAAATTTTAACAGTGAATCTTTTCTCCTGGGTTTTCTTTTGTTCTCTTCCTGAACTTATATTGTTTTCAAAAGTGACAAATTTCGGTTTGAATCTCTGTGATGCCACTAATTATGTGACTTGGGAAGTGGCTTGATCTTTCTGAGTCTTACTGTCTGTAAAATGGGGACAATATTATTTTGTAGATCTGTTATGAGAATTAAATAATATAGCTTATGTAAAGTACTCAGTGAAGTGCCTAGCACATAGTAATGCCTATGTTAATCTAATTTGTCTGTCGATGATCTGCCTTTCTTGATACGTGGTAATATATGAAAGTAATTTCAGTCTGTTAATGTCAGATAAAAATATTAGTAGTAATTGTCAGTGTTACTGTCATAAAACAATATCCATAACAATAATATCTAGGGACAATATATTTTAATATAATTGAAACATATTCTTTCATGTTTATTTTCTAATGGTTTTGTGTTGTCTTAAAGGTATTATTATATATCAAATATTTACTTTGTTAGAGATTTTGCACCTACCTATAATGACAAATCATTGGATTCCATGTTACCAATTCTTTCTTAGTTTCTTCTCTTAAGACATCTTTGTCTCTTAACTAGAGCCTAGTGTTTTCAGGTATCCTCATTTTTGAACTGTTGCCTCCATTTTCCTTCCTTTGACTCTCTAGTTTCTTATCTTATGACTCAGTAATTACAGCATCTTTAATTCAGCTAAAGTGGGCAAGTACATCATTGATGTTTAAAGTGCAGAGCAGTACAGAGAGCTAGAAGATCATAAGTTGTTTTGACTTTAAAACTTTTCTGGTTGTACTATGGTTCTATGGAACAAAAGAAATTGCACTGTAGACAGCATTAAATTTCACCTATAGTTTCAAGTTAACTTTCCTAGATTGGCAACAAAATTAACATCTTGTTGAGAGACTTTCTGAAATGATAAAACAAGTGGGATAAATTCTCAAAAGACTGCTACTGACAAAACATAATCCTTAGCTGATGAAAATGGTGAAAAAACAAATAATAATTCTAATTTTAGAAAATTAACATATATGAAGGATATATATTTTTATCTCTTTTTCTTTACCAATATCTTCCTTCTGTCTTTAAACATAGATATGTGTCCTCTGACTTACAATTTTTTAACATGGCTTTCTATTCCATTCTATTAAGTCTTTCCATCCCATTGCTTTATGTTCAGATGAATTGGTGCTTTCTGCTTTCATTTTTCCTTTGTTTAATTTCACAAATTATCATGTCTATCCCATTTCTCTACTGACCCCTGCTCCCCTGAGTGGGCAGCACCCTGAATAGGCAAGACTGACTTTCTTCATATATCACTTACCCTTAATGGTGCACTGGATTATAAACTGTTAGTATGATAAGGGACTATAGAGACCATGTAGTTGAAGCCTGTATTTTACAGGTGAGGAAACCAATGCCCATAGAAGCTATGTGACCTAATCAAGGCCACTTAATAAGTGGTAGAGATAAAGTCAGAACTCCTGTGCCCTGGTTTCTAACTCAGTGAAGTCATATGATTAAGTTATAACTTTGCAGTTCTAAAGGTAGAGGTAAAACAGGGTATCTTCCCTATATATGAATGGGGTTTCACTAATTACAGTAAAACGTAACATTTGCAAACTTATTGAGTGCCATATGCTTACTGAATGCTAAGTGTCTTGCATGGATAACCTCATTTAACTCTTACAGAAATTCTGTGAGGTCAGAGATGTTTTTATCTCCTATATATTACCATTTTACATTTGGAGAAATTGAAGTAGATAATAAATAACTTGCCTAATATCAGACAGAGTCATAGACTCACAGAGACCACATAGACAACAAACAGATGAAACACATTCAGTATCCTTTAGATAAAGATTGTCATGGGTTGACAGGACACTGAGTCCTTCTTTATCTGGTTGGGGATGGGAAGTAATTGGAGTGAAGAAAACAGCATTGTGCTGGTTAAATCTCGTCAAGTACATCAGTCTTGGCAAGGATTGGTTGTATCTCCTGTATCCTCATGGACATTTCTACTCTCCCATATAGACATTATTTTAATTTTAATTTTTTTGGCTTATAACAGCCATAAGTTGGCTATTTATTATCTGACAGTTTCTTGGATTAGGAGTCCAGTTGTGGCTTAATTGGGTTCTCTGCTCAGGGTCTCTCAAGGCTCCAGTCAAAAGATGTCAGCTGTGCTGCATTCTCATCTGGAGGCACAACTGACAATGAATCCTCCTCCAGCAAATAATTCTGTTAGAGGAATTTATTTTCTTGCCACAGTAGGTATGAGGTCCTTCAGCTTCTTGCTGGCTGTCAACTTGAGTCTACTCTCACCTCCTAGCCAAAAGGGCCTCCCAATATGATCTATTGGTTCTTCTTGGCCAGCAAGGCTTCCAAGTTTCTAGAAAAAGCCTACTGGTAAGACAAAATGTTTATTTTTATTTTTTATTGTATATTGTCAATTTATAATGGCACATATTTTTGGGGTACAAAGTGATATTATAATTTATGAATACAATGCACAATAATTTAATCAAGCTAGTTCACATATCCATAATCTCAAATATTAACATTTTTTGCTGTGATAATATTTAAAATTCATCCTGTCAACAATTTTGAAAAGTGAAATACTTTGTTATTAACTATATCCTCATGCTGTGCAATAGATCTAAATAAAAGCATATTCCTTCTGCCTGAGGATTTCGTACACTTTGACCATCATCTCCCCATTACTGCCTGCCCCAGCCGCTGTAACACCATTCTACTCTCAGCTTTTATGAATTTAACTGTTTTTGATTCTACATATAAGTAAGAACTTGCAGTATTTGTCTTTCTGTCCTGGCTTATTTTACTTAGCATAATGTTCCCCAATTCCATCATGTTGTTGCAAGAATTTCCTTCTTTTGTTGATAGAATTTCCTTCTTTTTAAAGGCTGAATGGTATTACACTGTGGATATATACCGTATTTTCTTTATCCATCTGTTGATGGACACTTAGGTTAATTCCATAAGTTGGCTATTATGAATAGTTTTGCAATAAACTGGGAATGAAAACACCTCTTTTACAAAATAATTTTAAATCTTTTGATTAAATATCAAGAAATGGGATTGCTGGATGATATGGTGATGCTATTTTTAATTTTTGATGAATCCCCATTCAGTTTTCTATAATGGCTCTACAAATTTGCATTCCCACCAAAAATCTGTAACAGTTCTCTTATCTGAACATCCTTGCCAACACTTGCTATCTTCTTTTTTTGATAATAGCTGTTCTGACAGGTGTGAGATGGTATCTCATTTTGGTTTTAGTTTGCATTTGCCTAATGATCAGCAATGTTGAGCATTTTTAAATACATCTGTTGACCATTTTTATCTCTTCTTTTGAGAAGTGTCTATTGAGATTCTTTGCCCATTTTTGGTATTTTTCTTTTGTTTTGTTTTCTTGCTATTGAGTTGTTTGAACTTCTGGCATATTTTGGATATTAACTTCTTATTGAATAGATCACAACTATTTTCTCCCAATATGTAGGTTGTCTGTGTACACAGTTAATTGTTTCCTTTGCTGTGCAGCTTTTTGGTTTTGAGTGATTCCTTTTGTCCATTTTTGCTTTTGTTGCCTGTGATTTTGGCGCCAAATACAAAGAATTACTGTGTAGACCAAAGTCATGGAGCTTTTTATTCCATGTTTTCTTCTATTACTGTTACAGTGTCTCTCCTTAAAATCAGAGGTTTAAGTCTTTAATCCATTATGAGTTGATTTTTTTTATGTGGTGTAAGACAAAGGTCCAATTTTGTTCTTCTGTATGTGGATACTAATTTTCCCAACACTGTTTGTATAAGAGACTATCCATTTCCCATAAGCAAATACAGTAAAACTGCATCATATGAAATCAACAAACAAAAAATAATAGCATTTCTATACACTAACAACAAACTATCTGAACAAGAAATTAAGAAAACACTCCATTTGTAATAGCAACAAAAATATTTAGGAATAACTTTAAGCAAGAAAGTGAAATATCTTAACGCTGGAAACTATAAAACATTTTTAAAAAGTTGAAGTGGACACAAATAAATGGAAAGATATTCTATGTTCATGGATTAGAAAAATTAATATTGTTAAAATGTCTGTACTATCCAATGTGCTCTACAAATTCAATGCAATCTCTATCACAATTCCAGTGACAATTTTCACAGATTTGTATATTGGAACCCAGAATACCCAAGTCAATCATGAGCAAAAGGAACAAAGCTGAAGGTATCACAGTACCTGATTTCAAAAATTGGAACACAGACTAGCCAAGTCAATCATGAGAACAAAGAACAAATCTGAAGGTATCACACTACCCGATTTCAAACTATACACAGCTGCAGCACAGAATGTAAAGCTACAGTAATTAAAATAGCATGTACATGGGCCAATGGGACAGAATACAGAGCCCAGAAATGAACCTGTGAATGTATGGCCAATAGATTTTTGACAAAGGTGCCAAGACTATGCACTGACTTATTATGTTAAGAGTACATAATTCATACCTCTTTTACAGTGCATGTCATTTTCTATTTAAAATAATATCTATATATTATAATAATATTTTCTATTTAAAATAATATGTATCACTGTACATAAGAATCTATTATACAATGGGGAACAAAACAGAGAGTCACCATAACACTTAGAACAAGGGTAATAATCTAACCCCTATTGTTCTTCAAAGAAACCTGTATTAACTCCCCCATGCCACTAGATTTTTATATTCCTCATAATCTAGTGCCACTACTTCAATCTACATTCCCATGTTTCCCACCCATTGCTTTTCAGCATACTCTTTTTACATCACATTTTGGGAAGTCATCCCAGTAGAGCAAAACATAGTCATTTCAACTTTTGTGTAATTAATTTATTGAGTCATTAATTTTACAGTCATTGAACAACTACTACAGATGAGAGGCTTAGCTGAACTAAGGAAATAAAGTGAGGAAGACAGTTGTCTTTAATTTTATCACAGGCTAAAAAAAGAGATAGAAGCCTAGACATGATTACTTCTTATTCTTATCGTTGGTGTTATTAAATAGTATTTATTTAATTAAATTATTAAATTAAAATATTAAATAGTATTACTGACCACGTGTTTATATTTTAGGCATATATATAGTAATTGTATAATAATATTTTATGTTATTCTATGGTTTGTTATGTACCAAGCACTGTGCTTTTCCTATATTAGTTCACCAAGTCCTGTGAGATAGGTGTTACTAGTTCCATTTTAAGAGAAAGCTGAGGCTCATGCAGGTAAACAATATGTCTAAGGGCTGCCTAGCAGGTAAGTTTTAGAGATATAATCAACAACAGCAATCCAGTACTAAAGCCCATGCATATTCTGTTTTATTATGGTCCTTCTCTGGTATTACTGAGCCAAAGCTCAGATATCAATTAGTTCTTTTCAGAGGATTTGGAGATGATTTCACAGCGGAGGTAATATGTAAACAAGGTCTGAAGGAGGTCATATGTAACAAGGTCTGAAAGTAAGTCCATGTATTTCAACCCAAGACAAACATAAAGCTATGAAATAGCATGCTGTGACAGTTTATTGTTGAGTAACTACGTATACATGTTATGTAGTCTGTGACACCTAAGGATTTTGGGCCCTACTCTGCTTAGCCAATGGAAATAGAACAATAGACTTGGAGTTCACAAACATAGGTACAAAAAGTAGCTATTCTTCACATAATTTGAAATTGTTCCTGTGCATATATTGCTTTATGCTGGAACCATAGCTTTCTGGAGAATAGGATCTATACCTTTTATTTGTTTCATAAAGTTTAAT
The DNA here is from genome assembly GCF_000001405.40 of Homo sapiens. NCBI lineage: Eukaryota > Metazoa > Chordata > Mammalia > Primates > Hominidae > Homo > Homo sapiens. The sequence goes on from NC_000003.12 coordinate 165,231,922, forward strand.
ATCACACAGTAAAGACTTCTTAAATAAATGAATAAGCTGGACAAGGGAACTAGGAAGTTGTTTGATCTACCTGTACACTGAATAACAACATAATATTACTACTAATCATAACATTAAAATGCTAGTATGACTTCTGAAGCTGATGATTCTCTTCTTTGAAACATGCTAGTGAGGCCAGTAGTGGAGATTTGATCATATCGGCTTTCTCTTCCTTTCATAGACATAGACATTGGCCTAGACCATTTCTGTGCTTTTGAGAAGGACCCTGTGAGAGTATATGGATCAGATGCTGCAAATTCATCATTGCCAGTCTTTAAAGAAACTTAAAGTGCATGCTCTCCTGGCAGTGAGACTGAAAATGTCAAGTTTGCATTGGAAAATCTGCAATACTTTTATAGTTGACCTCACTAATCATGTTACATATAAATCAAATTGTGTTGCAAATTTATCATATTTTTCTTGGCATACCTTATAAAAAAACAAATACCAGAGCATATCCTTAAGAAGATTTATTTTAAATCATCTTTCTGCTAGAAATAAGGCTAGTCTTCTACTTCTTACCTCAGAATGCTAGGCCTAATTCAGCGACCCGTAATTTCCCATACAGTTATTTAAATAGAATATGAGAAAGTTTAAATCAATGTAATCTCTCAGTTGTTTAAAAAGCAAAATAAAAAACCTAAACCGAAATACTTATCTTATGTCTCACATATCAAGGAAAGACTATAGATAAACACTGATATGTCACAAAAGCTTTGTAATAATATTAAAATTGAAGGGTAGGGAGTCATATTAATTTTCAAAAAGTTGATGAGTATAAAATTCAATCTTTTAAAAGATTTTTCATTGTAATATATCTACAAAATAATATTTTAATAAGGACAATTAACTCCTCACAATGATTTATAATGATCATTTTACAAAGTAGATATTTAACAAAGTCGATTAGCTTTTTAAAACCTATTATTATAGATACATAATTGCATGGAAGTAGCATGCATACAAAATATTTCAAAGATTTTAGTAAATTTACTTAGCTCTCTGACAATAAAAAAAATAGGAAGATAACAAAACTGTTTGCAAACTGTAGAGACAATATTGAGTGATTTGGAATTATTGTTAGTATAATAAAATCAAATACTAAATGTTATGAAAAAAGTTATATGTAGCCAAAATCCTGAGAGGGAAAGGTAATTCTCAATGGGAAAAACAGATTTGATCATATCAATCATATTAAAAACTAGTTTAAAACCGTAATTTGAATTAGTGCAGATTTTTAAAACTTTTATTAGCTACTACAGTCTTGTGATATTTTTATTGAGCTTTTATTATTCTTATGTTGTAAGACCAGGACATATGGAAATCTCGGAGCTTTTACCAGTAACTAAATATTCAACTGAACTCTTTCCTCTTCCTTTCTTGCTTCACTTTATCTTGAGGCGTAAAGAAAAAAAAAGAAAAAAAAAAAGCTCACCAGGAAAGAGAGAAATGCTACATTGCAAAATGAATTGTGAGAATATCATGACCAAAAATTTGTGACTGACTCACAAACAAAATAAGGAAGAGACAGGACAGTAATATAAAGAGAAAACATTTTTAAAGGATTGTTTTTGAGAGAGTTGTGCTATGAATTCCATCTTCTCATTGAGTTAGAAAGAGAAGAATGTCTGCCTAACCTCAAGCCTAATAAGAAGGATTTCAGTGAGATTACTTTGAGAGCTTGGTGTGTGTCCTTCATAATTGAGAGGCTTAGCAGGCTGGTGCTTGAGTCAGGACCAACAAAGATAAAAGGACTAGTGTCAACAGAGTGAACAAATTTTTCTTCAAAGAACTTACACTCATTTTCATGAGTCAAATGTGCTGTAATATTGCGTATTGCATTCTCCAGGAAGCAGATACTGGAACAGTGATTAGCTAGCTTGCAAAAATATATTAGTGAGTACTCTGGGATCAACAGCTGCATAAGGGAGAGTTGAGAATGAAGTTGAGCCGGGAAGTTGAATGGCTCTTCAGCGTTTACATGACTTGGGACAAGGGGGCAAGCCTGTTATGTCCCCATTATTTATTTATTTATTTATTTATTTATTTATTTATTTATTTTTGGAGATGGAGTCTCACTCTGTCACCCAGGCTGCAGTGCAGTGGTGAGATCTTGGCTCACTGCAGCCTCCGCCTCCCAGGTTCAAGCAATTCTCCTGCCTCAACCTCCTAAGTATCTGGGATTACAGGCACACACCTCCACGCCCAGCTAATTTTTCTTTGTTTTAGTAGAGACAGGGTTTCGCTATGTTGCCCAGGCTGGTCTTGAACTCCTGAGGTCAGGCAATCCACCACCCTCGGCCTCTCAAAGTGCTGGGATTACAGGCATGAGCCACTGTGCCCGACCAAATTTCCCCATGTTAATCAGTCTTAGGACACTGCTTAGCCATGGAAGGAAATAATCCAAAACAGCTGATAGCTAAGAGTGACCCACCCACTACGTGGCTAATTAAGTCCTTCTTCCTGAAGAGAAAGCTGGATGGTTAATTACAACATTCATCCCAAATTCTGAGTTCTATATAAGGAGCCCACAGAGGGAATGCCAGACTGCGGTCTTCTGCCTCCTAAGGTGAGAACATACCAGGAGTAAGTCTGATGAAGTATATCATTGTGGCTTAAGACAAGAGTGTATTTGAAGTGACCAGGTGAAGTAAGAACACTGTCAGAGCCAGGAGAATTATATCACAAGACCTAAAGGGAGATTCTCTTTAGCTGTCCAATAGGAAAGATATAGTGAATTACATATGTAATTCAAAATTTTGTGAGCCACAGTTTTATAAAGTAAAAAAGTAAAATTCATTTAAAAATTATTTATTATTTATATTTTATAACCTAAAATACAATTTAAGAAACTGTATATTCTATTTCAACATTGTAGTCAAAAATAAAAAATTGTTGAGATATTTTACAGCATTTTGTCATACTAAGCCTTTGAAATCAGTGTGTATTTTACTCTTACAATAATCACATTTCAAGCGTGTAGTAGCCTCATGTGTCTGTAGATTGAGCAGTGCAGCTCTAGAGAACCAACAAAAATGTCTCTAGAGAGAAGTCAGCTTTAAATATTTGCCAGACCTAGAAATTTCCAATCCATTATATGATAGTGGCAATCAAATCAGAATTTTTTACGTCTCTTACCTCTAGCCAAACCTACCCTTGAAAATGTCAGAAACAGCAGCTGTTGAGTTGGAAAGAAAGAAGCTGACTATGCCTGCCTCCCCATGGGCAATCAGCTCAAACTATTTGAGAGATGGAATTATATTACCTTAAGTAAAGAAAAATGTGTTGAATGTTTGAAGTAAATTGAATGTTTAGAACTTCGTAAATTGAAACCATGAACACATACTAAAGAGACTACTTTTTTCAACAGTTTTATTGACATATAATTGACATCTAATCAACTGCACATATATAAAGTGTACAATGTATTAAGTTTGACATACACATACACTTATGAGACTATCACCACAATCTAGATAATGAACATATTCATCACTCCAAAAAATTTTTTCCTGCCTCTTCTTAATCCATACCTCCTGCTTCTCCCTCCCTCCTTGCTCCCAGGCAACCACTGTTCTTTTTGTTACTTATAATAGTTCAAATTTTGTAGAATTTTTTATAAATGGCATAATGAAGTATAATATCTTGTTTGTCTAGTGTCTTTCACATAGCGTAATTATTTTGAGATTTATTCATGTTGTTGCATGTATCTGCACCTTATTTCTTTTTATTGGTGAGTAATACTCCCTTGTATAGATATACTAAAATTTTCTTCTACATAACTGTCATTTTACAAAAAATAAAATAAGAATAGATAAACCAAACTTTGTTTGTATATTCACCTGCTTTGAATATTTGGATTGTTTCCATTTGGGGGCTATTACAAATAAGGCTGTTCTGAATATTTGTGTACAAGTCACTACATGAACATATATACTAATTCTCAGGCAAATATCTAAGAGAGGAATCATTGGATCATATTATAGGTAAGTCCATGTTTAATATTTAATTAAATTGCCAAATTGTTTTCTAAAGTAATTGTACCATTTTACATTGCCACCAGCAATTTGTGAGAATTGTAGTTGTTCTGCCTCATTCAGAACACTTGATATAGTCAGTCTTTTAAATTTTATATTTTCTATTATGTATACAGTGTATGTCACTGTGGTTTTAATGTGCTTTTCCTTAATGAGAAATGTTGTTGAATATTTTTTTCGGAAGCCTAATTTATATCCATAGATTGTTCTATGTCAGTGTTTTCTTATGACCTTATTTGCTATTTGTAGACCTTCTAGATGAAGTGCGAGTCAAATCTTTTGACTATTTTAAAACATTGGGTTTGTTTTCTTATTTTTGAGTTTTGAAAGTTCTTTATATGTTCTGGACACAAGTCCTTTATCAGATATATGATTTACGAATATTGTCTTCTTGTCTTTGGCTTATATTTCCCTTCTCTTGCTGTTTTTGAAGAGCAGAAGTTTTTTATTTTGATAAAATTTGCATTATTGGCCAGGCACAGTGGCTCACGCCTGTAATCCCAGCACTTTGGGAGGCCGAGGAGGGCAGATCACTTGAGGTCAGGAGTTTGAGACCAGCCTGGCCAACATGGTGAAACCCCATCTCTACTAAAATACAAAGATTAGCAGGGTGTGGTGGCCTGTACCTGTAATCCCAGCTACTTGTGAGGCTGAGGCAGGAGAATTGCTTGAACCCAGGAGGCGGAGCTTGCAGTGAGCCAAGATCATGCCGCTGCACTCCAGCCTGGGCAACAGGGCAAGACTCTGTCTCAAAAATAAATAAATAAATAAATAAGTCAGATTATCAATATGTTATTTTATTAATCCTAATCTTGGAAATTTATATAAGAAACCTTTGCCCAACTTAAAGTCACAAGGACTTTTTTTTTCTAATTTTTCTTCTATGAATTTTTTTTTTTTTTTTGGACAGTGTATTGCTCTGTTGCCCAGGCTGGAGTGCAGTGGCACCATCTCACCTCACTGCAACCTCTGTCTCCAGGGTTCCAGCAAATCTCCTGCCTCAGCCACCCAGGTGGCTTGGATTACAGGTGCATGACACCACACCTGACTCATTTTTTTTTTTTTTATTTTCAGTAGAGACGAGGTTTCACCATGTTGGTCAGGCTGGTCTTGAACATCTGACCTCAAATGATCCACCCACCTCGGCCTCCCAGAGTGCTGGGATTACAGGCATGAGCCACCATGTCCAGCCTCTTCTAGGATTTTTATAGTTTTTGTTTTTACATTTAAGTCATGATCTATTTTGAGTTAATAATTGTATTTAGTAAAAATATAAAAAATGTATCCCTTTCTTGAAAATATCACCGTGTTTCACTGCATGATGCCAAATATCTCAAAAGGTATTGTTTTATATATTTTGCCCAGTTGTTTCAAATTGACTTACTTTTACTTAAGAGTGAACTGTAAAGCTTTAGAACCTATACCAGTTTGTATTCAGAAATACCAATATGTGCCCTAATTCCTCCATTTTACATGTAGAAGTTGCATAATCTTCAATATTAGAACACTTATTTTTTAGACAATTTTAAAATAAGTTGATATTTTAGGTGTTGACTAATTAACCTATAAAAATGAGGAGATGATTTCCCATCACCATTCTCATAAGGAATGGATTCTTAATAATGGCCTTTCAAATTTCTCTTTGTATATCTAGCAAATTCTAGCCAATTATGATAATATTGGGGAACTCAAAGGAAAGCTGAAACTAGAAACATGTTTTAAATATATTTCAATGCAATGAAAACTGGCATTTACTTTTTTTTCTGAAAATGCATAGTGTTAAAGAAAATGCATATTCTAATTTCAAATAATATTGTCAAATTTTAATATGTCATAAGACTACCTATTATTTGCTGACTTTCTCCTTCCAAGACATTTCTTTTCTTTTCTCAAGGCTTTCCAATTTGTTAATTTCTCCCAAATTTCAAATCACAAATTTGCATCAATTTCTAAAAGGTTATATGACAATCATCTTGAAATTTATTTTGTCTGTCAATCACAAGATTAACCTACTTTTATTCATTCAATTCATTGATAAATCACTTTAAAATTAAAAAAAAACCTGAGAGAAAGATCTGATCCAGTTTGTTCATAGACTTGAGGTGAATTCTATGGGTGTACATCAGAACTGGACAGTGATATCAGGTGATGGTACGTACACATTGTTGTATTTAAAATAGATTCTCCTTTTTATCACGTAAGTCTCTGAAAAGTTTCCAGACAAACTGGAGGTCATTTTTGTTGACCTACATATTGGACTGAAAAAAAATTCTGAGTTGGAACTTAGTGTGCTAAGTTTTATGCAAGTCCTGGTTCACTTTTATCATTTTTCTCATTCAAAAATATTTTAAAAATCATTTAAGTAAAAATGGGAGTGTTTATCTTTCACTCATTCCAGAGTATTTTCCCAACTCTATCAGTGTTTTAATAAGCTCCAAAAAATAAGTTTTTAGAAAAGGGAAGTGATGTCAAGAGTTGAGGAACCCCACTGCAACACACTAAAGAACAGAATTAATGTGTCTTTGATAAAAAGGTCAGAAAAGAAATGCCAATAGCAATATTTTATAAATGATTTCACCAATCAAAAGTATAAAGGACACAAGAAAACTGAGCCACCAGCAGGTCTTCAAAGCAGTTTCTGACTCCTTGTGTCTTTAAACTTTAGACTTAAGAAATCACACCAGTTGTAACATGTGGGGCAATATGATCATTACAAATTTGACCAGTATTTAACAATTGCCTACATAAATCAGAATTAAGCGTTTCTATGCTCTCGTGTCTGACACCTTAATGTTGCAGTACAGAATTCTTGAACCCAGTTATGACAGTCTTCAATTTTGTTTTTCTGCTTCTTTTCTTAACATGCGTATACCTAGATCAGGCCATTGTCTGAAACCTTTCTGCTAAAAAGGTGTTTTGCAGATCAGCAACATTAGCATCACCTGGGAGCTCATTAAAAATGCAGAATCTGAGGCCCCACTTAGGACCTACTGAATTAGAATCTGCAGTTTAATGTTGTACCCGGAAGACACCTATGCATATTAAAACGTCGGAAGCATTGGATTAAAGGACTCTCGTAAGTGTCTGAGAGAGTCTTGCTGGCAACACGGGAAGTATGACATTTTCTTATAACTTTCCCTGCTATTATTACCTTTGTCCAATGAATTTCTTCATCTTTTTTTTTTTGGAATACCATTTTATATATTTAGATTTACTGATTCAGGCTCTTGCTACTCATTTCTCCTCCTCCTCAGAGCAGTAATAGTGATGTTTTAAAATTTAAATCTCCCTCTCCATTCTTCATTCATATTACTCCTCCCATTGCTTGCAGAATCTAGCCACATTCTATCAGTTGAACACTCCAAAGCTTTTCCTGTTTCTGCTTAGAACACGTTGTTGCTAGCTGATCAATGTATACAGGTCAGGCCCTTCACTTGTCTTTTGTCAGCTCAAATAACCTGTCCTGTGAGGGGCTACCTGTTTTGCAAACCAGACACTTTCTAAATTTCAACTTTGTAGTTGATATTACTTCAAAGTACATATCATGATCTGAAATCACTAATTGTGGGCAAGGAACTTGTATATCTTGCTTACCTTGAAATACTGTCACAAGAAACAGTGTTTACTCTGTAAGTCCTTCATAATTATTTTTGACTAAATAAATGAATTGGTCTCTTATTTTATATCTTATTCATTCAGTTCATGTAATTACCTAAATATATATGGAGTGCATACAATTTTCTAGTCATTTTCCTAAGTGCTACTGATAAGGTGAAAAAACAAAAAAAAATGAAAGAGTCTCAGCTTCTACCCTATATATGCTCTTGCAGAGACAGGCATATATAATGACAGATTACAATAAATGAATAGGATTTTGATAGGAGAGGGGGTCATTTTAGGCAGAGAAACACATGCAAAAGCTAGTATGAAAGAACCTGATATCTTAATGAAATGATGAGACTCATCATGGTTAATCACTTTAAAATTACTCTAACAGAAGACATTTACTAGCTATAGGTAGAAGTAGGGAAAGACACAAGAAAATGCAACAGCCTATAGGTTACCAGAAGGAGTATCTAGGATGTGTTTTGGATGATGTGAGTCAAATTCGCATGTGCATATGAATAATCTGGGAATCTTGTTAAATGATAGGAGACTACTTACGGCTGAAGCATAATTTTTGTGAGATTGCCAGGACCTCCTGAGATTACTTGACTTCTCCACTCTTCTATATCTGAATACAAATAAATGAAAACAAAAATAAAAACCATGCAAACAAATAAACAAAAATTAATTTTAAAAAGCCACTATGAAAGACAAAATGCACAAGACAATTAAGGATATAATTTTATTCTGGCTATGCAATCAGCAGAACTTTAATTGATAAAGAATGTCTCAAAGAGGAAGGGGATCATTAGGCACTTATAAAACAAGGTAATAATTGAGGAATGGTGGAGGTAGGCCTTATAAGGTGGTCATTTACAGTTTTTCTGAACACAAATTGTTGGGAGGATTTTGTAACTGATATGGCTTGGCTGTGTTTCCACCCCAATTTCATCTTGAATTGTAGCTCCCAAAATTCCTTCATGTTGTGGGAGGGACCCAGTGGGAGATAATTGAATCATGGGGATAGTTTCCCCCATACTGTTCTCATGGTGGTGAATAAGTCTCATGAGAGTTGACAGTTTTATAAGGGGAAACCCCTTTTGCTTGGCTCTCATTCTTCCCTTGTCTGCCACCATGTGAGACATGCCTTTCTGCTTCTACCATGATTGTGAGGCCTCCCCAGCCATGTGGAACTGTGAGTCTGTTAAGCCTCTTTCTTTTGTAGATTGCCAAGTCTCGGGTATGTGTGAAAACAGCAGTATGAAAGCAGACTAATACAGTAACCTTCTGTGTATTTTAGAAGCATGGTGCTCAGGTGAAATTTAACACTCTCACTACCAACCTCCCCTCCTTTGAAGAGCTTACAAGGGTAAAATTTAATCTTGGAATTTTTTCAACTCTATCAAAATGTGTATTACTCATATGCATTTCTCAGGTATAGCAGTATTAATAAGACAAATCAGAATGCAAATTATACATAAAAATAAATAAAATATCTAGCATTAACATGAAACTTCATATTTGGAATATAGAAAATTTAAGCCAAAATAAGTCTTTAATTTTTAGATATTGAGAAGTTTAAAAACAGTGACAAATTACATTCAGTGTGGTAAATATTTTGTAGTTCAAAATTAACTTTCTAATTCCCTAAAATGATATCATGTCTGTTTAAAGAATTACCTGTTTGACCCTGTGTCTTACATTGAATTTAAATAGTACCAAAAAAGAATATAATTTGCATGCAGTTGGTGCTCCATAAATATTTACGGATTATAGGGATTTATAATTTAGTTCAAATAATATTACTAAATATCAATATTCTTTCAAGTTTAATTTAAAGTTTATGTACAAAATCTATTTCTTAGAGATGAGAAGGCTTGTTTATTTAGAAAGGACAATGTCAATGGTTCTAAACAAAGGATGATTTCTCTCTCCAAGGGACATTGGACAAAGACTGGAAACATTCTAGATTGTCATAAAATGACTTTGAAGAGTGCTAATGGCATCTAGTAGGTAAGGTGAAGGTAAAGTTAAAGGTAAAGAGATACTGCTAAACAGCCTAGTTTGCACAGAACAGAATTATTTGGCTTGAAATGTCAGTAGTGCTGAGGATGAAAGTCCCCAAACTAAATGTGTTTGTATATAGATGAATATGTGCTCAAGTCCTTAGAGATCTAGATAATGTGCATCAATGTGTGTATTCATAATTTTCTGGAAATTCTGAAGCCCTGTACCTTCTTTGTCTAGCTAGAAAAGCTATGACAATCTATCACTATAATCTTAATTGAGAATGCTTCAATTTTGGTTGCCAATTATTCTCTGATGGAGCAAAGATGCTCTGGTTCTAACTAGAATAAACAAATGGCTTTCTTTTGATTTTGGATCCCCAGTCCAAAATAAAAAAGTAAAAAGATGATAGAGTAACACTGACATCATACAAATATAAATCCTAAATATCTAGAATATTATTAATTTTGGTCTTTGACTATTTGTAATTTTGAAAGAAACAATGAAAAGATTTGAAAGCTATGGCTTCAAAATATGTCTCAGAAATATTTTTTATCTTGGTACATTTCAGAGAGAGAGAAGAAAAGGGAGATTGTTTCGTTTCTTTCTATACTTAAAGATTCACAGACATTCATGTAACTATATGAAGAATTTTTTAATTTAACTTGGGGAGGAGGAGAATAATACATGATCAAACAAGGTCAGTTAAATAAAATGTAGTCAGTGAATTGTAGACTCATCAAAACAAGATTAGAATGATTAAATTTTTATATCTGACAGATTTTGTATTGTTAACAAAAATATATTTCAAAAATTGTAGTCACCCACATCAGAACATTTGTAAGGACAAAATACATAAAACAAAGCCACTGGAAAACGTCAATCACCTGAAATTTAGGCAAGAACAAAGAAAAGATGATAATATGAGGAAATAATTGCTACTATCTAAGCACATTGTTACCCTAAATAAGAGAGAGAGAGATCTTCATTTATTTGGAAATAAATGTTCCCAAATATTTTTTACCATTGCAATGGAAATATGCATGTCATAGTAAACTTTGTATTCAGGGAAGAAAAGGAAGATGAAGGTTTTTAAAGGAAAAAAAATAAGGAGAATTAGTTGTTTTGAAATAATTATCCTTGGTTACAAAGATCAGTAAAAAGTGTGACACCGGTCTAAGGTTGGACAGATAGTTGTTGGACAGATGTTCTTGCAGAAGTAGCTTTTGTTTAAGGTTGCAACAGCCTTTGTGCAGGGTTATGGTTTTTGCAGAGTCTTTTGCGATACTTTTTGTTATCAATCATACAAGCACGAGAACCTTCTCTTCATGCCATTTCTCAGCTGTTTGTCTGGGTTGTTGTAACACTAGTGATCCCCTTTTGATTCTGACAACTTTCACATTTCCCCCTTTGATTAAAATCTTTCTTTGAAAGTTTCACTGATTAATCATCTTGTAGTTAGGTTTTGATGTCCCTTGGTCCTGAAATGGTGCTGTCCTGGTTGCTGGTCTCATCTCACATTTGGGAGGAGTAATTGGTGCCTAGGAATCAGTATCAAAACCCTTTTAACCACACTTGAACCAGAAATGAACTTGAACAAGAGGAGAATGACTCTCAATCAAAGTCTACCTGGATTCCATTATTAAGTTAAATTTTGTCTGTTTCATAGTCGTTTGTCATCAACTATTTTGGGCCATCATAATTTTGTTAGTAGTTGTACTTCTGCAAAAAATTTAACAAGTAATAGTTACAAAGTTTAAAAAGGGACAAATATAAAGTAAAATTAATAATAATATGATAACTTCGGTTTGCATAATGGTTTTAAGCCATGGACCTAGGCTTAAAGGCAAAGAATTGAAAAAGCCAAATGATCATAGGAACTTAGGTGGTATCTGTTGTAACCATGTAGCCATTTTATTATTATTATTTTGTGTATATGGCTCTTAACTTTTGAAGAGGAATTTTTCCAGGTGCAGCATGGAGTGTTAACAATAGCACAGACCTTTTCTTACTAGCCAGTGGATATTAAAGGAATTTTTAGGTTAAGTTCTGTTAAGTTAACAGCAAAAGCTATTGACTGTAAAATTTCAATTATATCATTATACTGCCAAGGGAAAAGATAGGCATTAAGATGGGTGAGATTCTTGTTATGATAGGAAATTTTATTCTGACATCTTGAAAAAAAGCTTCCTACATCATGAAAATGTCAGCTTCTCCTGGATCAGTGTGAATGTCTTTGTTTATGACATTGAGTGATTTGATGAACTTTTTTTTGTAAAGCCTATATATCAGTCAGGAGGATTGTTCTTTAAAATTTATCTAGTTTCAGCTTACCAAATTTTAGGAACACAGTAGTTTTTATTTTTAGTTGTAGAATTGTAGCCAAATGTTATAGGAAATTAGGAGAGTTCAGGGTCTAGCCCAAACTACAGGTAGATAACAAGAACTTGAAAACAATGCACAGGGCTACAATCCAATGGCAGATATATCATAGACTTTTTCTTTAGAAATATAACTTTTTTTCTCTTTATGTAGGAATTTCAGATTATAAAACCTTTTGAGGCTAGGAAGCCAAACCAAGGCAGACTTTAGATTTTACTTACAGTCTTAAAGTACTTGAGCCTGCCAGGAAGTGACAATTTGTACTCACTCATGGTAAGGCTAGGGACTCTTGAAACAAGGCATTTTATGCACATTTTAAATACGTAATTTCAGTCAAAGTCTTGGTAATATAACCAATGCTTCCAATTGTATCCTGATTATAAATAGAGAGCATATTTTTACTAAAATTATGTAACTGATCATACTGTCATAAAAAATAAGAATACTCATGAATAGTTGCTGAATTTTGGAGGAATAAAATAGGGAAAAAAGCAAATGCTTCCATATTTGTTCACAAAAGTATACTTTACCAAATTGTTGTAAACTGTAGATTAGCATATGTGAGAAAGTTTTCTTAAATCTGGAAAACAAAACATTTAAGTAAAGAATGAACAATGTTTTAAATAAAAGCCATAAAATGGAAGCTTCATCAATTACTTAATTTCATGTAATCTTTTTGTTTTAATTGATCTTGATTAGTAGTTTCATGAACCTTTAGTTTATTTATTAGAGTTCTGGGAATTTTTATTTAGTTCATTAACCTTAGGGTTATCAGAAATTTGTGTTTAAGAATACATGCAAAAATCTTTTTGATAAAAAGTAAGTTTGGGCTGTAACTGATTGCAAATACTTTTGGAGAAGAATTCAAAACAATAACAATAGATAATAAAATCTTTCAATAGCCATAGTCAAAAATTTTATGAAAATTCCCAGCCGACAAGGAAATTCAGTTATTTCTATTACATATAGCATTTTATGATAACCATAATCATGTAATGGGGTCACATCAGGACCATCAGACTTTTATAAATTTCATAAAATCTTTAGAACGCTCACATTAATAAAGTGTCTGTACAAATATAAGTTTAGAAAAGATTTAATATAACAAAAATTATGACTGAAACATATTTGATTTTTATAAATGTTTATACTTTTTGAAACATTTTTATTAATAATATACCCATAAATGTCACTGAAAGATATAGTGTCACTTATCATTTGGCAATGCTTCAAATAGAATTTACCAAATAAGTCTAATTATTTAACATCTTTACAAGATGAGAGGTACACTTTTTGATGCTCTCCAGGGGCCCACTGGGAAATGCCAAAATTAATTCTTGGTCAAAAAGACTTAACTTAGAACTTTGATTTGGGGGAAGCCCATCAAAAATGACAAAATTTTCAAAACAATTGATTAAAACAGATTCACAGGTCACTATAAAATAATATTCATTCAAACAGAAAAATACTTTAAAAACTTCAAAAGCAATACAGAAATTTACATGGATTTAACCAGAAAGGTAAAGAAAAACCTCCTATAATGAAATTGTTTCTTATTATGGGAAGCCCATTTAGAAAACCTGGAGGTTGAATCTGATGAAAAGGGTACTTGAATTTTATGAGACACAGTAAGAGGGTGTCCAGGCTTATGAGTCTGAACTATATTATAGAAGAATGTAAAAAGAAAACTAGTACCTTGAGCAGGGTAATACATGGCTTTTACTACAAGCATGGGAAGTTTCCTGCTTACGGAGAAAATTCAGTCAAATTTTGAAAAAGGCAAGAATAGAGAAACAAGTAATACTGGAGGAAGAATTCCTTCTTTAGAACTTCAAGATAAACATTTCAGCATCAGGCCATATCAGCAGAGGTACAAGTAGAGAAAACGAAATGTTACAGAAACTGAAGAAAAGATTGAAGAAGCGAGTTATCACCACCACCAAGCAAAAAGATACACTGTTTGAAGAAAAGAAAGAACAAAAGGCAATGATGTATGACCTGCAAATCATGTGCAGAAGATACAGCAAAAACTGAACGTATGAGATAGAAATCTGAGAAGCTTCAAGAAGAAGAATTTCACCTCAAGAAATGAAATTACCATTCTCAATGAAAAAGACAACATTTCCAACCGAAACTAGGGGAATTAAATAGACCTCAGGAAAAAGTGTTGCAAAAATAGAAACTCCCTGTAGTTTAAAAGATGGCTGTTAAAGAATTAAATATCAGAATTAAAAACTTAACCTCTTACATTTTATTAGGAGCAAATCAATAATTTAAGAAAACCTTGTTTTTCTAACATAGGAAATCACATATTGTAGTTTTATATTAATGTAATTTTAATATCCAGGATCAATCTTTAGAAAGACTTACAAATAACACTAATTATAGCCATCTTGATTACACACAAAATTTCTTTCATATATTTTTCCTTTACAAATTTTATCATGACTTACTCAGACCATTGATGACATATTTGGACTTTCTGCTTTGTCCTATACTTCCTCTTTTTTAAGTAGCCAGTCATTGTACTTCAGGACAAAAGTTTGTCAAATAAAATTCTTTCTCACACGAAATTATTCTCTTTTATTTTTCACCTTTCTTACCAAAAATATACCTTGATATCCATAATTTTCTTCACATCTCTCTCTCCTACTTACTAGTTCCTTTCCTTCCTTTCTTTCTTGTTTCTAATTACATCCTAAATCTGTATTTTTGAGAAACATTTAAATACTCTTTAAATCACCCAAAATTATAATTTTTCCTCAATAAACAACACATGTTGGTGCCTTTCTTATCATTTTTTCTTATTAAAAAAGAAAAAAGTTAGTTTTAGGCACACTTTCTGCAGTGAATTACATATATATTAATTAGATTTTTAACTATTAGTAACTTCAATTTTTAGCAAGCAGTTTTAAAGATCACATATCAGGTTTTTTTGTTTTTTTTTTTTTGGAGATGGAGTCTCACTCTGTTGGGATTACAGGCTCCTGCCACCATGCCCAGCTAATTTTTTTGTATTTTTTGTAGAGACAAGGTTTCACCATGTTGGCCATGCTGATCTTGAACTCCTAACCTTAGGTGACCCACATGCCTCGGCCTCCCAAAGTGCTGGGATTACAGGCATGATCCATTGCACCTGGCCCACATATCAGTATTTTTAGATGGAAATCATTTTATAATGTTTAGAAACATATTTCTCATAATATTTGTCTATATTAATAGATACAAATATATTTAGCTTTTCCATAAAATTTAAGAAGCCAAGAACAAATTTATATTTATGTTCAGCAATTTGTTTATTTTTTATCTTGTTTAAAATGACTCAGATCTTTAATGAGTATCTATAATTTAACATAACTTTAAGATTTTAAATTACTTAAGAAGTTTATTTATAGCAGTCTATCCCATTTACATTTACCTAATGTATTAGTCTGTTTTCACACTGCTATGAAGATACTATCTGAGACTGGGTAATTTATGATGAAAAAAGGTTTAATTGACTCATAGTTATACATGGCTGGGGAGGCCTCAAGAAACTTACAATCATGGTAGAAGGTGAAGGGGAAGGAAGGCACGCCTTACCTGGCAGCAGGAGAGAGAAAGAGCAAGGAAGTGTCATGCTTTAAAACCATCAGCTCTTATGGGAACTTATTATCGCCATAACAGCGTGGGAAACCACCCCCAAGATCCAATCACCTCTCACCAGGTCCCTCCCTCAACTCATGGGGATTACAATTAAAGATAAGATTTGGCTACGGACACAGAGCCAAACCCTATCACCCAATTTACTAACTTTTTAAAAACAGTTTACCTAGATTACTTATTAAAACAGATATTAGGTAAAACTAGTCATCATAGCCTGTGAATACCAGGTGTTTACCTAAGTAAGAACCTCAAATATATGGATATTTTATTGTTAACTCAGAAGATATAGTCACTTTCATTAAACCAACAATATTAACTTAGTCTTACCAAAATTACACAAAGGTCATTCCATTTTAGGCTGGGTTTTGTAAAAGTTTTATAACTTTTGTGTCAAATCTTGACACCTTAATGCATCTGTCTGAGACAAGTATAAAATTGTCAAAAAATACTGATAATTTTGAAGATATTTCTTTTTTTATTTTACCAATGATTTTAAAGCCAGCTTCTTTACTAAAAATTTACTTAAGTCACATTAACTGGAAACCATTTCGGTTAATTACTATGTATTTTATATTTTAGATGACAGTCCATTTATCTAAGCCAATATGAATAGAATTCCTTAAGGGATTTCTGGCTGACTATGCCAGAATTTATTTTGTAGACACAAGATATAATATATTACATGTAAATATGCATAAATATACCGAAACACTGTGTACATACACAAATAAAGACCTTGTAGCTTTCATTCTAGAATTTTAGTCATGAGGTAGTAATATAATCACACTGGTTTATGAAAGACAGTTGAACCAAAATTATATTTTTGTTAAAATCAGGACCTCTTCACAAGCCTAAACTGTACGTGTCCTGATAGGTAGTTTAATGATGGCTGTGGGCCAAAATTTTGAGTAAAATGAGTTTAATTTAAAAAAAAAAACTCACCCTCTTTCCTCTTTCAGTGTTTACATTTTAACTATTTTTTTTTCTGAATTGTATAAGAAAAAAAAAATTTCCTAATAGCCTTGAACTAGTAACAAATGTATTTTTTGTTTGTTACTTTGGTTTGCTAGACTACCAAATTCAGGCAGAGAATAATTTTACCATCTTCTTGGAAGACTAGGGGCAGAGGGGCTTTTTCTTTTTGGCCTCTGCATGGTAGAAAATATAAAATTTTTATGTCAGAGATACCTTATATTATTGCTCTGAGGTAAGGATTTTGACCTGTTTGATCTGAGTGCCTAATTCCTATAAACATTTATTTGATTCTCTACCTTTTAGGTTATTAATTTTTGAACCATAGAGCTGTTGCAATTTATAAAGTCATTATTTTGAAATCCCATAAAAACTTTTTTCTTTCTTTTTTTCTTTTTTTTTTTTTTTTTACATTTTGGCTGGAATGCCATAAGCAGTGAGTTTTAGCTCAATGCCAGTGGAAAAGTCAGCAGATTCAAAGTAGGCAGAAAAAAGTATATATATATATAGCAGAGAACATAGAAGACTATACATGTTAACTTAGAGTTACGGGTTTTTGGAATAATGATCGTTTTAGCTCTGAATTTTCCATGATGTAATTTTACCCATCAGTTTAAAAAATATGTGGAAGAATGAGCTATACTATGTAACCAGCTAGAGTCCCAGAAAACTTGGTATGCCTTAATGTTTGGGAATCCCAATAAGATTTTTATCAATCTCTCAGAAACAAAGAAAATTTTATAAATTCTATAGAGGCATGTCAGGAGTTTAGACTGATGTTTTTACATGGTGGCAAAGCCCAGTGGCTTTAATTAGCCATCCTTCAATCACCACTTAGAATGTTTATTTTTGCTCTGGAAGGATTTTCAGAAACAAGCAAGGGGAAAGGGTCAAACAAAATCAAAGATACCAAGATGAGTATTCACTGAAATTTTAAATCAGGCATGCAGATCAAACAAAATATTCAACTAGGCACGCAGACCAAACCAAAAGTAATTTATTAGAAAAGACATGCCTCACAGACAAAATGTAAATTCTGAAGAAATCAGAATACTCAATCCAGAAAGACGTATATGTTTATATCAGAAAAAAAAATTACCAAATAAGACAAAATGTCTTTTATCATCCCAGGAGGCATGTATTGTCTTTTGTTAAGGTATCCTTATCTAAATCAGACCCCTAATATCGAATGTCTTCTACCACAATATCCTTATCTAAACCAGACCCCTAACAATATCGAATGTCTTCTACCACAACGAGAGAGGCGCCATCAGAGGGAAGACTCACCAGGGCAGAAAAGGCAGGCCATGGAAGGGGAGAACGCAAAGAACCCCAGTGACTACTGCACACGGGTTCCAAAAATCACAAGTTCCTCCCAGGATTGCTCCTTTCCAGTCCCCATTTCTGACACCATATGTGTCAATGTGAATAACAGAGAAGCACTATAAAAGAAAAAGATATTTATTGGGGTATAAGCATTGCAATGGGAATACCTGTGTCACAGTAAACTATGCATATTCAGAAAGGTAAAGGAAGTTAAAAGATTTTAAAAAAATGAAGAGAATGACATAATTGTTTAGAAATAACTATTTTTGGCTATAAAGATGAATAACAAAGGTGATGCCAGTCTGAGGTTAGAGAAGCAGTTGCTGGGCAGATGTCCTTGCAGAAGTATTTTTTGTATAAGGTTGTAATGGCCTTTATGCCTTTGTAATGCTATTACAATGGCATTAAAGTTGTAATGGAATTAAGCCAAAAGGTTGTTGCTTTTGCAGTCTTTTGTGATAGTTTTTGTTATTGAGCATACAAGCAAAAAACCTCTTCATGGCCTTTGGCCTTCTCCAGCTCTATTTGTCAGGGTTTTCTTTATTTTATTTTTAACATTAGTGACTGGATTTTGATTGTGACAACTTTCACAACATGTACATATATCAACTGATTCATTTAGTCCTTTCTGAATTATAATTTAAAATACATATTGACATTTGGGATTTATTAACCATCTATACATACAGACAAGTTTTTTTTTTATTAAAATATTCTTTCTTCACGTTTCCTTTTTTTATTTTCTTTCTTTTCTTCCCCTTCCTCTACTTACTGTTAAAGAGCATTTCAATTGGGTACAATTTATTTAAAGTTGGTCTTTTCATGGAGCTCAAATCACTTAGTAGAAAAGGGAGTTAACAAAGTCATGGTTATCAGGTTGACTTCACAGGGAGAAATCTTTACCATAGCCCAATAAAATTAACTTTAGATTTGCCCCATTCTGTACCTATCTTTCCACATAGCATTAATACTCTCATCAGTGAAACCTGAGGCCCACTAAAGCGTAGGCTAATCTATGGGAGGAAAATATCTTTTTTTCTACTAATTTTAGGTTCATGGCTGAGGGCCCTATAATAAAAGACAGATTAACAAGAGAAATGCATACAAATGTATTCAGTTTAGTTTCGCATGTCATGGAAGTCTTCTTGAGGATATGCAAAGTCCACAACATAGTTAAAACTAAGTGTTTTTCATGATAGGTTTAAGGAATAGTGGATAGTTGTGGAGAAACATGATAGATCATAGAGGGTGTGATCTAATGCAAGTAAACCAATGGGGAGGAGTAGATCCCGCTTGGCAATACCTGTGTGTTCTGATTCTTCTCTGTGTCCTTGTCTTGAGAGGTAAGGATGTACCTTTCTTCCCTTTATAGAGGAGACACTCCTAACGCAAAAGTTTTATCATTGGCTTTAGGAGAAAGTCAGGAGGTCCTTATTATGTTTTATGACCTGGTTCAGGGAAGAAGGGCACAAGGAGCGGGGGTGACATTCCTGCTTCTACTGTTTTCTCAAATTACTTAAAATATTCAATTGCCAAGGTGACATATTTTGAGGTAGTGTGTCTTGAACTCCATCAGTAACAAGGGCCAGGTAGTTAACAAATGTGTGAACAGCCTTCATGGGAACTGTGGCAAACTTGACAGTGCCCTGAAAGGAGTGAGCATTAGAGACGTAGCTTCTGGCTTTCGTTCTCCTGTATTATGACGGTTTGCTGCCTAGTGTTGCTAAACATTCTAGTTTTGTTACTTTTTCTTTTTTTTTTTTTGTTTTTTTAAGATAGTGTCTCATTCTGTCTCCAAGATGCAGTGCAGTGGCACGATCTTGGCTCACTGCAAGCTCCGCCTCCCAGGTTCAAGCCATTCTCCTGCCTCAGCCTCCCAAGTAGCTGGGACTACAAGTGCCCGCCACCACGCCTGGCTAATTTTTTGATTTTTAGTAGAGACAGGGTTTCACCATGTTGGCCAGGATGATCTCCATCTCTTGACCTCATGATCTGCCCGCCTCAGCCTCCCAAAGTGCTGGGATTACAGGTGTGAGCCACCGCGCCTGGCCAGAATTTACATTTTAAATGATATCTCCCAAATTTTTTTTAAATGCCTTTTTTGATCTTTCTGTTCTTTTCCTTTCCTTTTTTTTATTTTCTTTTTGAATATAGTACATCATACATATCTGAAAATACTAATTTGGCACTTCTGACACAGATGTTGATATTTTTCCCAAAGGGTACTAAGTCAGAATATATTAACATTCTATTAGAAATCTACTCAAATAGTTGCCACTGGGGTTTGACATGACAAGAATAGCATTTTCATTAAAGGACCAGAATGTGGCTCTAAGAAACTGTCTAGCCAAGCAAATAAATCTTGCATAGAATCCCAAAATGCTATTGTTAACTGAGGCAGAGGTTTATGAAATACTTATCTATAAAAGCTGTACTTCAATATGGCAGCTTTGGGCTTGGGGAAGGATTGGGGTAAGATATTTAAGGCAATTAATATATATTCACAGTGGTAGAAATGCTTGCTCTTCATTATTGCCTTCCAAACACTCAATTTTCTAACCTTCTGAACACATTTTTCTTCTTTTCACATGGAAATGGTAAAGTCAGTAAGCCAATTCAGTAGACTGAAACCAGACATATTTACATGGTAAGTTTTGTTGTAGAGATGGTGGTGCAGGTTTATTTTTGCTGTTTTAATGCAACTCTGGATGCCAAATTGGAGATTGTTGTATGCCAATTGTTCTCAGTGTCAACCTAAAATAAAAACAGAAAGAGAGAGACTCTCCCAAAAAATGATTTTACTTGAGAATAAATAACAGAGGATTGTAATCCAGGACACACAAGCTATGAAAAAAATCATAGGTGTATCCAGATAACCTGAGATAATGAGAAATTTTTAAAGGCAAAAAGGAGTCCTCATAAACTGCTCCGAATAAAGGTATGTTGGTCACAGAAGCTCATTTCTGGAGCTGATGTCAGCCCGTTGGTAAACATACCCATTGCTAGGCAAGTGTTCTTGTGAAAGCATCTAATCTGTAACACTGCTGTCTTGAAGAATTTCTTAGATAAATCTTGTTGAAAAAATATATGTGGACATATAGAAAAAGCCAGCCAGGTAAGGTAAGATATGAAACACATATAGGACATACAGAAACTTTTTGTGGACTTCAGAAAAGCCTTTTTGATAATTCTTATCTCAAACACGGATGAGTCCCCTTCTTTCATGACTTCCCAGCTATACCTTGTTTGGGTCTGACAGGAGTGACTTCATCTTAGTATCAGCAATGTTCACGTTCAACTTTCACGTCAGTTTTGAGTTCATATTAGAATAATCTGGGGAACTTTCAAAAACTCTGATGTCCTGGCTGCTTCCCATTATAATTAAATTAGAGCCTTTTGGTGGCGTATGAAAGGGATCCAGACATCAGTATTTTTCTAAACTCTTTAGTTAGAAAGAGCAGCCTTAAATGATGCAGCTAAGGCAGAGAACTATCATTCTCAGTGATTTCCAGTAGTAATTTTTATCTCCATGACAGGAATCTCAAAAACCATGAGGCCCAGCTAAATTATATGTATCCAATTATTTAACAGAAATTTGTTAAAATATTTTGGTAGAAATATGCCTGTAATAATAAGGGAAAGTTGATTTGATCTGGAATTTAGTTAAATTGTAGAAGAAAGAAAATCACATAGAAATTGTCTTTTGAGTGAATCTGAACAATAAATATGTATTTTTGGCCAACGTAGAATGAGATATTGGGTGGGATAGAGTAAGCATGGGTGAGAACAATTTGTCCAACTTTGATTGTCTAAGGACAATCTATCTGTATACAACTCACAAGTTGATTATACTCCCTAAAATTTAGTACATAGAACACTGTTAAAATTTTTTTTCATTTATTATATTAAATAAATTAACTTTAAAATTTTGATAACATTTGCCAGAGTGAAGTTCTCAAACTTTAATGTACATCATAATCATCTGGAGGGCTTATTAAAACACAGATTGCGAGATCAGCCCAGCAAACATGGTGAAATCCCATCTCTACTAAAAATACAAAAATTACACGGGTATGGTGGTGCGCACCTGTAGTCCCAGCTACTCCGGAGGCCAAGGCAGGAGAATTGCCTGAATCCTGGAGGCGGAGGTGCAGTGAGCCCAGATCATGCCACTGCACTCCAGCCTGGGTGACAGAGAGAGACTCCGTCACAAACCAGAAACAACACAGATTGCTTCTGCTTCATCTTCCAGTTTCTGAATTGACAGGTCGGGGTGGGGCCCCCAAATTTTTATTGCTAACAAGTGCCAGGTGATGCTGCTGCTGCTAGTGCAAGCACAATGCTTTGGGAACCACTGTCCTATAAAGGATACCTCATCAATCTGGCGATATGGTCAGGATTTAGATGAGAAACTTTTTAGTAAACTATTTTACTTTTGTGAGCCTCCTCATCTACAAAACAAAGAGGTTGGACTAGATTGTATCTCCTACAAAGAAACATTGGATAGGTTAATAATGAGAATCCCTTCGAACTGAAAATATTCTTTAGAATAGGATAAGTGTTTTACGAAAGAAGGGCAAAGAAGTATTCAGTCTCTACTATAAATAAGAAATTCAGATTATTCCTAAACTTTAATACCCAGTTAGCAAAAAGAAGCCCAGTACCTAGACAGACCCTTTATACCTTGACAGTAGTTTGGAGATCATTTTTCCTCTCTTTTATATCTCATCACATCCTCTGAGAGCTGCGAGATATTTTTCATAGTGTGTTTTCCAGTCGCTGGTCTTGCTGTCTCTGAAAGGAGTCCTGTTATTTATACATATTTTTTCATCTAATTACATTTCCATTGAGGTCTTACTGCTCTACAGAGATTGCTACCTTTTAGCTATTGGCTGATCCACCTTTTAAATCTAGTTTTTCTAAATTCTCAAACAGTTCTGGGTAGCATTCTCTCATCTGGATTGCAAACAGATGAGGTTCTAGTAGAACTCCAGGGACTTTATGCTTCAAAGCATATAATGATGGTTGGACCAGTGGAGGGAGCTATTTACTTGAGAATCACTGACCTTTTTGGTATAAGGCAAATATGAACACACTTTGTTGCTGGTGACGAAGCTGGTGCTAAAACACTTATCCCTCTGAGTCAGCATTTTCACTGAGCTACACCACTTATTTTGCTTTTAATTTGGAAAGAGATTTACCTTACATTATTGCCTCAAAGGACTGTTCCTTCAATGGCTTTTGTGACTAAGTGGAATGTTGGTAAGAGCTGAAAGTAGGAGATGATCTATAAGGTAGGACAAGAGAAAGGCTATTTGCTAAATAAGGTGAACAGTTCCTTATTAGTAAGCATATTTGAGGATGCTCAGTCTTAACTCATATAAGCAATAAATTACCTCTGATAAGAAAAGTAAAAAAAAAAGTACTTCTCCCTCAGTGCATATTTAACTTTCAAGTCACATTATCTTCGGAGTTCCAGAGTTAATGATTATTTATTTTAATAGAATGAGTAGATTTAAATTGATTAAATATAGTGTTGAATTTCAGGACTGATGAGGAGTGCCACTAATCTGAAGAAGGCCAGATGTATGAATGGAAGAGAATATTTAATGATGTTTGATAAAATTTAAGAATGCTAGGCTAATAAAAGGATAACATGAAATTAACCTTTTAGATTCCAGAGTTTAAATTTCTGTTACATGTTTTTCTGTGCCATGCTATGGTTTATGATAGTTCAGAATATCTGATAAGCCTGTAATTTATACATGTTTTTGTTTTTGAATGAGACTATGAACAATAATAAACAAAGCTTAGTTTACAAGATATTTAAAAATTTGTTTCTAATTTTTACAACTGTGTACATTTTTGTCATAGTTAATGTAATTGAAAATGATGGCTCAAAAGAATGGAGAGGAAACAGAGATGTAGTCAAGGGACTAGGTTCTAAAGCTGCCTTCTCTTCTAGTTGTGTAATATTTAGGTAATTGCTTACCCTCAGTGGGTTTCAATTTCCTTAATTTAAAATTACAAGGTTTAACTTCTAGGCCTTTCCAGTTTTGATATTTTGATTTGTTAAAAGTGATTCTTGGTTATAGTTAGGTCACTTAGTTTACCAAATTAAACTGAAAAGCTGAGCATCCCGAGCGTGTTTTAAAATCACATTGATTCAAATACAGATTCATATGTGGAAAATGGTCAAAGTTTAATGTTATATGGTTAAAAAATACATATATTTTAAGTTATAATTTTTGATCACAGTTATCTGAGAATTAGTAATAACTTTTACTAATATATTTTGTTTCATTATTAAAATTACTAATTTTTTACCATTTTTACATAATGTGCTTTTATAATTCTTTTAGTCTTCAAAAATATTAAAATTCCTCCCTCCCTCCCAAATATGGTGTAGTTAGAATCTTTAAAAGGTAACGTTGAGGCCAGTTGTAGTGCCTCATGCCTGCCCTCTAATCCCAGCTACTCAGGAGCCTGAAGCCAGAGGATCACCTGAGCCCAGGAGTTTGACTCTACAGTGAGCTAAGATCACACTTCAGCCTGGGCGAGACCCTGTCTCTTAAAAAAAATTAGTCTAGGTTTACATAAGAAAATAATGTCAAAT
Source organism: Homo sapiens (assembly GCF_000001405.40). Taxonomy (NCBI): domain Eukaryota; kingdom Metazoa; phylum Chordata; class Mammalia; order Primates; family Hominidae; genus Homo; species Homo sapiens. The sequence goes on from NC_000003.12 coordinate 165,256,552, forward strand.
AAATGTATATTATATATTACATACTGATACATTTTATTTGGAAAAAATGCTGTAAATATAATTTAGAAAGCTGATAACTAGCTTTTAGAAATCCCATTAAGGTCTTTAAAATATTGTTACACCACTCTTAATTAGACTGAGAGCCTTGTGAACTGCTTTGTAGTCTAGTCAAGTCTGTTAAGTTCTATGAATTCCTTGGTTGAGATTTTCTACCGATAGATGGCAGTTTTCTGTGATTAAAAAAAAAAAATCAAGTTCAGAAGCCTTTGCAGAGCAATCTGTTTAGTTTTGCAAGGCTTGCTCTTCCTACTAAAAGTTTAGAAATATGACATATGATATGCTTCTCTTGCCCAGAGAGAGATTACTTCGTGATAATATACAGATTTGGATTTTGAATTGCATTTCAGGCAATCAGAGATGTCACTAAAGATTTTATTTCATGTACAAGTACATATGTAGTTCTTGCTGTAAATCTCATCTCTAGAAAGCATTAATGTAACTTATTTAACAACAAATGTATTAGAAAATAATGGAGAACTACGTGTATAGTATTTTCCTTTAATCATCGTTATCTTTTATACAAATAACCATGAGAATATAAGTTTGATGTACTTGACAACTTCCTTTTTCAGAATATGTTTAGCTTTCTGGATTTAGGACTACAGCCTTCTACCATTTTGTGTAAAGACATTTCTAGTCTATTTATTATTGATTACTTTTATATGATTCTTAACATAATAAATTCAAAATCATACCCTTAAAACTTCACCTTGGCCGCATGCATTCAATTTTATGTTTCCTCTGCTGGCCTGAAATCACTAATGAAAGCCTGAATGTTGTAAGACAATGAGGATTGCCCATCAGTTACAGAGATTAGTCAACTGTGTAATGAAGTCTTGTTTGTTTGCTTTCTTTTATATAGCACTTAGTGTATCTCAACACATTTTCAGCTGCTTGGTGATATTGCTCATTTCAACATTTCGCCTAAACTTTTTGCGTCATTTTACTAACCATTACTGAACTTTATTTCATTTTGTATACCTAGTAAGGCAGTGCCAAAGTAATTGGAACTTGAGCAGATAATAGGCACCAAAATAGGATAACAGCAATACTAAAAGAGAAGGCATCAAAGATGATAAGAAATCAGAAACTACATTTACTATATTTCTGTACACATTATTTACAAGATTTTAAAACTAAAGTAAAAAGCAAATACATGTTTATGATTATAAATACATATCTACATATATATATAGTAGGATTACAACAGTAAAATATGTAAGTCCCCTATTGATATTTGTCTGGGTTGATTTCCAAGGCCAACAATGAATTTTCTGATTCTCTGGATGAAACTCGGTTTTCAACAATTCAATTCATTTCTGACACTAACTACTTGGAGTTAGCACAGGCTCTACAGCTTTAGGGCTCACTCCCATAAGAGTAACTCCACTTTAGACCCCAATTACAAGCCTTGGGCCACCCATACATCTGACTGGCTGTCTATAAATTGGAGTGCCCCGAATTTCTCCCCTAAGGTTTGATAGTTGGTCAAGAGGTCTCACAGAATTTACGGAGACACTTCACTTATTAGTAAATAAACTAATAAACTTATTGGTTTATTATAAGGAGTGCCACTCAAGAAGAGTCAAATGGAAGAGCTACATAGGGCAAGGTATGGGGATGGGGGTGGGAGTTTGCATAGAGCTTCCATGTTTTCTCGGACTGCACCATACTCGCAGCACCTTGATGTGTTTAACAGCCTGGAAGCTCATCAGATTTAGGTGTTCAAGTGTTTTTTGCTTGTTTGTTTGTTTGTTTGTTTGTTTTTGAGATGGAGTCTCATTCTCTTGCCAGGCTGGAGTGCAATGGTGTGATCTTGGCTCACTGCAACCTCCACCTCCCATGTTCAAGGGATTCTCCTGCCTCAGACTCCCGAGTAGCTGGGACTGCAGGCGCTTGCCCCCACACCTGGGTAATTTTTTGTATTTTTAGTAGAGATGAGGTTTCACCGTGTTAGCCAGGATGTTCTCCATCTCCTGTCCTTATGATCTGCTCGCCTCGGCCTCCCAAAGTGCTGGGATTACACACGTGAGCCACCGTGCCCGGCCTCAAGTGTTTTTATAGAGCTTACTCTCCAGCCTCTCCTAGCCTTCCCAGAAGTCACTGAATTGGACTAAAAGTACCAATACTTTGATCACTTGGTCTTTCTGGAGGCTAGCCCCATCCTGAGGTTATCTGGAGGCCCCATCCTAGTTCGTCTCACTAGCATAAACTTAGGTGTCATCAGAAAGAGCTCATTATGAATAACAAAAGACATTGCTGTTACTCAAATCCCAAGCGTTTTAGGAGCTCTGTGCCAGAAACTTGGATAAAGACCATACTATCCTATTCCATTTTTAATAGTCTGGTCTGTATCCTTCTCAGCTTTTGCCCATGTGGACTCTGTGCCAGACTTAATTTGAATCAAAGAAAAAGAAGTAAGTTATGCTATATTATGAAGATTAATGAGAGCACCAAAATTTAAATATGTATCACAATTGTATGAATTAAAATATATTTTATATGTTCTTATTTTTTTAAGAGATGGGGTCTCATTATGTTGCCCAGCCTGGCCTCAAACTCCTGGGCTGTAGCATTTCTGAAGGTCCTAACTAGCTGGGATTACAGACGCACCATTGTTCCTGGTTTATGTTTTTAAAATTTTTTTCCATATTGAATGATTTTGCTTTTAATTCTAATTTTGACATTAATACAGATACTACTTTTTTATTAGTATTATCTTAGCATATTTGTGCGTCTTTTTATTTTTAACCTTTTTAACATTCTAATTTAATTACTCGTATATAGCATTTCAGCAATTTTTGTAAGTTCAACAAATGCTAGCTTCTATTACATATATGCATATACATACACACAACAAACATTTGAAATACAGGGAAATTTCAGCCTGAAAGCTCACAATCTACCACTAATAGTTTTGTTTTGCTGAAAATTAATCACATGTATCTTTACTGAAAATAATTAATTTGACAATATTATTTTTAACAATTAAGGAATCATAACTTTTTAAATCATATTTCTAAGAATTTTCTGAGGCTGTTTCAGGAATGCTTTATCATTCTATTGCCAAGTATTAGTCAGCAATTTTGGCTGGAAGCCTACAAGCAGAATGGAGGTGTTGTAAGCTGAAAATAAACGTATTAAAAGGTGTTGGGTAGCTCAAAAAACAAAACAAACAGAAAATGGAAATAAGTAAGGAAGTTAGGCAATATCCAGTCCTGTGACAAAAACAAGTTCAGCAAAGCATTTTGTGCTGTAATTTTGCTGATCATTAGATGCCACAGATTGCTCTACTGCTAGTAAGCAACAGTGGCCTCTGGATAAAGCTGCTGTTGTCACTGCCACTTCTGTTCCTGGAGACCACTGCACCTCCTGCCACTGCAACGGATTCTCTGTTGTCTGAATAAGAGCATCTGAGTGTTGTACTTAGGTCACTCGCTCATGGCCTAAAAACAAGGGAGTCCTGATAATTTGTTTGTCTTTATCTGGGCTTTCTGCCTTCTAGAGTCGGGATCAATTCTACCTGCAACCAAGATTCACAGAGCAGCAATGTTCCAATATAGAAACAGAGTTTATATTCAGGGTAACAACTATAAGACAAATAATGACTGCTACAGAGCAGCCATTAAAGAGATTGAGAAGTTAAGATTTAATATTGTAAATTAACTTTTGGGATAAATAGTCATACTTGAATCACAAAAATGTAACCTGTAAGGAACCATGGAAACCATCTCATGTAGCTGCTTTTTTTTTTTTTTTCCTGTTAGGCAACTGAGTATGAGTGATTAAGTGTCTTGTCCATTGAAAAAATAGCATACTGTTTGTTAATTCATTTCTTTAGTAAATACTTATTGAGCACCTAATACATACTGGACACAACACTTATTGCTGGGAAAACGGTAATAATAATAATATAAAAACAGCAACAATACATTCCCTATTGTCAAATATCTTATATTCTAACAAGAGGAAACTGACAGAAAAAAAAAAACAGTAATCAGATTAAGAGGAATGATATTTTCAGAAAGTAAATATTTATGTAATGGGGAGTGACCAGGTGTGAATATTAGTATGATTACCAATTCTATGTATTTTTTTCTGAAAACTTATACTTTTTCCTATTCAGTATTTAACAGTTTCATATGAATATTTTTCGGGATAATTTTCTTAATTTACTTTTGCCACTTGGTGGTACTTTTCAGTATAAAGACTCTAATCTTTCTTCAGCTCATAGATTCTTTTTTGTTATTTCTTTGACTTTTTTTCCTCTCCATCTTATCTGTTGGAGAATATCTATCTATGTTGTAGAATATCTTATCTATGTTGTAGAATATCTTAATCAAGGGATATTATTCAGACAGGGACATATATGCCCTATCTCTTAGCATTTTATTTCTGCTTTAGAATAGTACTTTTGCTTGTTCTTTTTGGGTAACTTTATCTATAAACCTGCCCCATCTGTTATTCAGTGTGTATATTAAGAATCTACTTTTGTTATTATTGTTATTCTGTTTTGTTGTGCATAGGGGAGAATATCAATTATGATTTTGAGTTCCAAAAACTGAATTGTTTAAAAATATTTTATTCTTTTTTCTTTTTTTACTTTCCAATGGAAATCTTTATCATATTACTTTTAAATAAATTTTTATTTAACATTTTTACTTGTTTATTTGCTTTATTTTAAAGCTTATTTCCTTTTTTAACATTTTCCTTACATTAATATTAAATACAAAATAAATATTACTTAATATTTTTACTTATTTACTTATTTTATGTATTTACTTTAAATTTATTTCCTTATTTTAGTATTTTAGTCTTTTTCTTCTATTAGTTTTATTTTTTCTGTTAGCTTTATTTTCTTGAACTGTAGTTATTTCTTCCTTTTGTTCACGGTGATTGTTTTATTCGTTTATGGTTTTAATGTTGTTTCCCTGAAATATTTGGTGTCTCAGGATTTTCTACTCCTTTTTAAGTGTAAGGATTTAAGTTAATGCATGATATTGGCTGATAGCTAGAGTGTATTTTCTCAGTAAAGGGAGAGCCAAAGATATTATTTACAATCAAACTGATTTTCATACATATAAAATCTACAAACTGTAATGAACAGGGAGAATTACAAGTAATGAAAATAGGTTACGATTCCTGGAGACATGGTTTAGTAGTTACAGAATGGTAAGTTACAGACAGGCTTGTTTAGAGAGTAGAGGTAACTAATTTTGTGTGGGTGAGGTTCCACAAGCTCATTACTTGGGGCAACTGTTCTGCTTGGTCTCAATAATCACTGAGAATCTTCAGTGGCAGAACTTACTAATTTCTGATGCTAGGAGTCCTTATTTTACTTCACTGAGATTTTAAAAAGCCCTTTAATTAATTACTCAATGAATTAATTGAGTAATTACACGATTAAAATTTAATTAATGTAATTATATGATTGCAGTTTATTTGGAAGTAAATATAAGTGTAGAAGAAATATATTTTCAACATGCAATATCTCAACAGTTTATCTCCCATCGTTTCTCAAGAATCCCCTGGAGCATCTCTTCTATCAAAACTGTAGAGTCAACCAAGAAGGAAGAAGCTATAGATCCAATGCAGGGAGAAAAGTTTTATTTTAAAATACTACATGTCATTGAACTTTGTAGATTAACTTCTCTAAGCACTTTTTATGTATTAATTCATTTATATGTCATAACACCCCTAAGAATTAAGATTTGAACACAGTTAGAATTTACTTCAAAGTCTATACTTGTAAGCTCTACAATGTGCTGCCTCTCCCTGTGCAGTGCTGAGAAGGAAATTAGAATTATGGCCACAGCTATGCAGCAGCCTTTGAAAGCTATGTTCCTCTCCAGGTATTTTGAGAGCAATGGGAGAAACTGAGAGACTGTGATGTTTGACCATATGGATAGTTGAATGCACTATTTTACTTCTATTAAAGGAAGTTATATGAAGATAAATTTTAATTAATAGGCTACTCTATGATGTGAGAATGGTCAGTATAAAGGACCAAATAAAACTAAAAATGTGAAAAAAGTATTAATTACAAACTCCAGAAAAAAAAAAACACACAAACAGACACGCACTCACACACACACATTACACACACAAGAAAATGTAATTTTGAGTATGTTAACTGACTCGAAAGTAACAATATTTACTTACTCATAATAATGCATAAACCAAATACTGATTTTAACAATAATGTAGGCCAAGGCAAGTGGATCATGGGATCAGGAATTTGAGACCAGCCTGGCCAACATATTGAAACCCAGTCTGCATAAAAATACAAAAAGTTAGCCAAGCATGGTGGCGGGCACCTGTAATCCCAGCTACTTGGGAGGCTGGGGCAGGAGAAACACTTGAACCTGAGAGGCGGAGGTTGCAGTGAGCCGAGATCGCGCCACTGCACTCCAGCCTGGGTAACAGAGAGAGACTCCATCTCAAAATAAACAAACAAACAAACAATAATGTAGCTGTTGTATTGGGTTACAAGGTGAGTGTAAGAGGTAAATCTCTATTTACTGTAATGGAAAGACAGTAGATCCTTTACTAATTGATAAACATCAAGTTGGTAGAATTTGCATGTAATTTGGAAATACAAAAGTAAACGCTAGGAGAAACAATTAAAAGAGCTTCAAATTTCCTAATTCTGGAGAACAGAATTATAAGGCAATGGCCTGTTTTTTTCTTTAAACAACTTTCAACTTTTTTCACCTTTAATTTGAATTTTTAAAACAAGGTACAAACCATTTGCTAAAAGCAATAAAAGTTTTCAAATGGAATTGCAGATGAGAGAGCACAAGAGATGAATTTATGGAAGAAAGCTTTTCAGAAACCAAAGAAGAGAGAAAGAAAGAAAAAAGAGTTAATTCCGTAGTTATTCATTAGGCTCTATTATTAGTTTGGACTTAGAATTTAAAATGTCATTATAGCTAATTATTTTGTTTTACCTTGATGTTTGGTAAATTTAATCTCTCTAGATACAACTCATCATCCTCTGTGCCGTATGTATTCTTCTATGCTCCCATCTAAGTTAATTGTACCTGTTTTTCCCATGTGTCTCATGTTTCAGTGGTGACAACCACAATCTACCAAGTCATCTCAACTAGAACTATGGAGTCATCTTTGGCCTCTCCACCCTTCTTATCTCCACAGGTCACAATCTTCTGCCAATTCTATTTAATAGTATATCCATTCTCTCCTTGTTATTCTCCTCATTATTCTTATGTTTCCAGTTTTTATTGTTTTTTGTCTGGCTTACTGCAAGATTTCTAAACTAGAAACTCCGAAGTTATCTCTTTTATAATAATTACAAAAGTATTCAAAAGCTGAGAGAAAAGTATAATGAATCCCCACAGCACCTAATTTAAAATATTTCACGCCTGTAATCCCAGCACTTTGAGAGGCCTAGGCGGGAGGATCACAAGGTCAAGAGATTGAGACCATCCTGGCCAACATGATGAAACCCCATCTCTACTAAATATACAAAAATTATCTGGGCCTGGTGACACGTGCCTGTAATCCCAGCTACTCAGGAGGCTGAGGCAGGAGAATCACTTGAACCCAGGAGGCGGAGGTTGCAGTGAGCCGAGATCAGGCCACTGCACTCCAGCATTGTGACAGAGCAAGACTCCGTCTCAAAAACAAAAAAAAATGTTACTTTAATCTAAGTTAATACCAGTAAGGCAATCTGTGAGCTTATTTACTTTTCATTTGCAATCTGTATTCCCCCACAATATTTTTTGACAGTTATATATTTTCAAAGTATGTATGTATTATGTACTATATAATTTCCTTTTAATCTCCATTTAATTTTAGTTATAGGTTATATTTATTATTTGCTACAATTCCTTATGCTCATGTATTTACAGTCATTTTTGTTGTGAGAAGCTTGTTTAAAGGGAAGGGCTCATTGAATACAATATTCCCTGTTCATTACAGTTTATAACCTACATGCTTGAAAGTAAGCTTGATTGTAGATAAAATTTTAGGCTCACATTTTCATTCATTAACATATTATTCTATTTTGGGGAGCATGTTATGGTTGAATAATCTGGTAACAATCTGATATTTTTTCCTTAAGTCACTTCCTTTTTTTGCCTGTAAGGAAAAAAATGTTCACTGTTGTTAGAATCTAATGGTTGTACCGGTGTGCTCTGTTTTGTTCTTCTGGGTCAGTTTTCCCAAGTATGTTGTCTATCTTTCAATGTGTTGTTTCAACTATTCTTTTATTTTAGAAAAAATGTTTTAAATCATAGTTTTAACTGTATATTACATTTCATTACTTTGATTTTTTCACCTCTTAGTATCTATTAAATACTTTGGATCTATTTCTTTCCTTCTTTTTGATTAAAGCAATTTCTTCCTTTCCATTTTCTATTCCTCTTAACAGAAAGAATAAAACTTCTAATCTACTTTCTAATTCTGATTGTTTCTTCTAATTATTTCTTAAATTATGTAATATTTTTCTTGCAATCCTCTCTTCTTCAATCCCCTTATATCTGAGTTTTTCTATTTTTAAAGTTTGTTTTTCGGTGTTCTATAATTTTATTAAGTTTCTTTAGCTTGTTTTGAAATACTTCGTTTTTTTTTTCTGTTTGATTGATGGTAGATTCTTTTTTGGGTGTGCCTTTATTTGTAGTAGGTAAATTATTCTGTATATTGTTCTTATTTCCTTTATATTTGCATAATTTTTACTACAATTTTTTTCTACTGCTCATATGCAAATGAAATTTATCTTTTTATGCTCTTAAAGAAGAGGATAGATCAAGATAGCCTTACCAACCTAAAGGCATTAGAACCTCCCTCCCTCCCTCCCTTCCTTCCTTCTTTCCTTCCTTCCTTTCTTTCTTCCTTCCTCCCCCCTCCCTCCCTTCCTTCCTTCCTTCCTCCCCCCTCCGTTCCTTCCTTCCTTCCTTCCTCCCACCTTCCTTCCTTCCTTCCTTCCCCCTCCCTTCACCTCCCTTCCTCCCTTCTTTCCTTCCTTCCTCCCTTCTTCCTGCCTTCCTTCCTTCCTTCCTTCCTTCCTCCCTTCTTTCCTTCCTTCCTTCCTCCCTCCCTCCCTTCCTTCCTTCTTCCCCCCTCCCCCCTCCCTTCACCCCTCCCGTCCTCCCCCCTCCCTTCACGCCTCTTTCTTTCTTTCTCTTTCTTTCTTTCTTTCTTTCTTTCTTTCTTTCTTTCTTTCTTTCTTTCTTTCTTCCTTCCTTCCTTCCTTCCTTCTTTTCTTTCTTTCTTCCGTTCTTTCTCTTTTCTTTCTCTCTTTCCCTTCTTCCTTTTTTGGGGACGGAGTCTCACTCTGTCCCCCAGGTTGGAGTGCAGTGGTAAGATCTCAGCTCACTGCAACCTCTGCCTCTCAGGCTCAAGTGATCCTCCTACTTCAGCTTCCTGAGTGGCTGGGACGACAGGTGTGCACCACCACACAGGGCTATGGGTGTGTGGGTGTGTGAGTGTGTGTGTGTGTGTTTGTGTGTGTGTGTCTGCGTGTTTGGTAGAGACTGGGTTTCACCATGTTGCCCAGGCTGGTCTCAAACTCCTGAGCTCAGGCGATTCAACTACCTCAGCCTTTCAAAGTGACAGGATTACAAGTGTAAACCACCATATCTGGCAAAACTTTTGTTATTCTCACAGATGTTTAAAAAAATATAGTCATATATTTTTGAAAGGTTAACTCTCTTTCCCTTTCCCAAATTATCTGAACTCTCTTAATTTAGCTTCTGTATCCTACAGCTTCTGTCAATATCAGACTGTTCTGGAAAGGATATCTAGTCAGTGGATTTCAAGGATCCATAGGGCTCAACCTTTTTTCACAGCAGCCTTTAGACAGTCTCCTTACACATACCTTTGAGTTGAACTGTGAAGAACGCTGTTTCACTTTTGACTGCCATATGCTGATTAGCTGGACAGGTTTCTAAGGAGTACCTGTAGGTGACTTGTAGGTTCTCAGGCTCTTAAGTCTATCCAATTTCCCTTTGCCATTTCTCTGCTTCCTTTCTCATAGCTGCTGATACCATGTGGACCTTGATTTGTTTTTTGGTTTTGGTTTTGTGTGTGTGTGTATGTGTATGTTTTCATAACAGCTCTATTTAGATATAATTAATGTATAGTAAAATTCACCTTTTTAAAATGTGTAATTCAGTAGTTTTTGGTATATACATAGAGTTGCACAAACATAATGAACTAATATTAGGAAATTTTCATCACCCCCCCAAAAAAAATCCATTAGCAGTCACTCCACATGATCTTTTCCCAACAATCCCTGGAAATCACTGATGTACTGTCTGTTTCCATAGATTTGCCTATTCTGGGATCTTCAGAAATAAATAGAACCATGAAATGTGTTTTTTTGCAACTAGGTTCTTTCACGTTCCATAATGTTTAAAGACTTGTTCATATTCCACTACCTTTATATTCCTGAATAATATTCCATTAGGTGGATATGCCATGCTTTATTTATTCATTTGTCAGGTGATGACCATTTGTGTTGTTTTATCCAGGTCATATATGTGACTTCTAATATATCCTTAGAGAAGTTATTGCGTCTAGTTGTCTATAATTTCACTAATCCAAAACTGCCTTCAGCTATCTATCCTGACTAAACCCTCAGGCACCCTATCAACTTTTATTTTACCTGAAAAAAGACTATTTTACATATATCTAAATGTGCAAATTCAAAAAATATATAATTGTAAATGAAAGTAAAAAAGAAGTGAGGATTAAATATATTTCAGATAGTAATTTAGAAACCTAAACATGGTTATGAACTCTCTAATTTGAATAAGCTGTATGTCAATAGACATATTCAAATAAACATTGGATGGCAACCTAAATATTATAGACAGCTTTCCTGCATTAGTCTGGAGGTTAGACAAAATGACAACCAAGATAGCTTTCAATTTTTTATTTCTGTAATGTTATGTACCCAAGAAATTACAGAAAAATGCTTTTAATAATCACTGACATCTTATGCTGTCAGTTTTTATATGCAATTACATTTTTAAAGAGACATCTATACACATAAAATGGAAGCATTTCTGTTACATCACAAAATAGGCATTTCTAAAAATAAACTGAGCTGTTTTCCAAAATCTCACATGTAAAAAGAGTATGCTGATAGAAAAGTTAATGATAGGCAAAGTGACTCAGCATCTATAAAACTTTGCAATTAGAGCACAAAAACAAATGAACAAAATGACGTTCCTTATAAATATACTGGTGCAGTTAAATATATATATAATATATATTTAATTCCTAACAGTTATAAATATTACAGTACATATCAAACTTTATTTACCAAAAAAGGTAATCATTATGTTTGAAAGGAGGAACCAGAAAAATTTGAGTTAAATTGCTCTGTTATGAAGATTAAAATGAAAGTTACAAGATATATTAATTAACTAGGGATGTTTTAAGTAATTATCACAAATTAGGAGTCTTAAAACAACAGACATTTATTTTCTCACTAGTCTGGCCATAAGTCTAACATCAAGGAGTCATGTCAACAGGGCAACACTTCCTCCAAGAGGCTGTAGGAAAAACTTCTCTTTCTTAACTCTTTCAGCTTCTGGTAGCTATGAGCATTTCATAGCTGGAGGCTGCACTACTCCACTCTCCGCTTCATTTTTATGTGAACTTATGCTTTGTGTCCTTTCCTGTTCCTTGCTCTCTCTCAAATCTCCCTCTCCCTTTCTCTTACAAAGACTCTTGTCATTGGACTGAGGACTCATCCAGATAATGTAATTATCATATCTATATTTTACATTCATTAATTACAACTGCTAAGACCCTTTTTCCAAATAAGGCAATATTCACAAACTTTGGGAATTGGGATGCGGGCATATATTTGGGGAGCCACCATTTTATTCAATATACAAGAATGGTAGCAAACTATGTAATAATAACTTCCAAGTCAGAAGCATTATTTAATTCAAGCCAACAGGTAGATTTGTGGGGTCAGCTGGCATTGTATATAATATTATATTCTCTCATGGCTTGCTGCATTCAGTAGTTATTTGGTGGCACAAAGCACTGAAATGCTAAGGAATATCGTGTGTGAATCAAAGCAATTTCCACTTCATATTGATACTGTTTCCCTATTTACCTGTCACATATGACTCATCCACTTTACAGAAAATAAACATTGTAGCAGAAAGAATATATTTCAGAACAAGCCATAAATCAAATATAAATAAGCTGAAAACTGCTCTCATACTAACATTTTAAGCTCATATTATTAGAATTTTTAGAAAAGCAATATTATGTTTTCACTGTTGAGAAAAACTGACAAAATTGCTTTTACGAATCATTTAACTGAAGTTTGAGGTGAGTTTATACAATGGGAAAAATGATATTATATCAGATGGCACTAGAAGTTTTAAATATGAAATAAAACCTTATTCCTAAATAAAGTAGTTTTTGAAACCATTAAAATGGGGATATAAAACAGAAATATGTTAAGAATAGTTCACATAATATATGTCTCAAAAAGGGATCATCAAAATACAGATTTAGTGACTAATTTTCAGGGTTCACAGTGAGTTCCTAAAATCTAAATTTTTCTAGGTTTTTTTTTTTTTTTTTTTAACTTCAGGCTATTTCTGTCAAGTTTACCAATGTGGAACATACTGAGCCATAGTATTTCCATTAATACACTTGTTGACTAAGGCTGAGACAGAATCAGATCCACTGCATGTCTTTGGGGAGGAAGGAGGTAATCTTTTTCTATTCTATTTCTGTCAGGCATTCTATTAAAGAGAATACAAAATACCTTATAGGTTACGAATTATATTTAGAAGAGTCTCTGAAGAATTTGATTACCTTATTGGAACTCTGCACTGCTTTCAGTGAAATCATCTTGAGATGCACAAACATTTTATAGATCATGTCTTATTTTAGAATAAAAGCAGAGATATTTTGAGATATGACCACAGTGGAGTGACATTACCTGGCACTTTCTTTAACAAATTGGCAGTAAAATGTGTCTTTTTTTTTCTTTTGCCTTACTCAAGAACTATTAAGCTAAATTTTAGAATTTATTTTACTAGTATATTTCTTTTAAATAATATCATTGGTTATAAAAATCAAGACTTTTCTTTTTCATTATTATTATACTTTAAGTTTTAGGGTACATGTGCACAACGTGCAGGTTTGTTACATATGTATACATGTGCCATGTTGGTGTGCTACACCCATTAACTCGTCATTTAACATTAGGTATCTCTCCTAATGCTATCCCTTCCCCCTCCCCCCACCCCACAACAGGCCCCGGTGTGTGATGTTCCCCTTCCTGTGTCAATGTATATCCTGTGTCCAGGAGTATCTTTGTGGCGTTCTCTGTATTTCCTGAATTTGAATGTTGGCCTGCCTTGCTAGATTGGGGAAGTTCTCCTGGATAATATCCTGCAGAGTGTTTTCCAACTTGGTTCCATTCGCCCTGTAACTTTCGGGTACACCAATCAGACGTAGATTTGGTCTTTTCACATAATCCCATATTTCTCGGAGGCTTTGTTCGTTTCTTTTTATTCTTTTTTCTCTAAACTTCTCTTCTCGCTTCATTTCATTCATTTGATCTTCCATCACTGATACCCTTTCTTCCAGTTGATCCAATCGGCTACTGAGGCTTGTGCATTCGTCACGTAGTTCTCCTGCCATGGTTTTCAGCTCCATCAGGTCCTTTAAGGACTTCTCTGCGTTGGTTATTCTTGTTATCCATTCATCTAATTTTTTTCAAGGTTTTTAACTTCTTTGCCATGGGTTCGAACTTCCTCCTTTCTAGTGCAAGAAAGATACAAGCTCTTAAATTCACAAAAGGATACCTGCTTTGCACGTGTAGTGTAAATAGATTCTCTTTCAGACATAAAATTGGGCTTGCATTTTGTTAAGGGCTGTCAATATTTAACTTATCACTTTAATTATTTACTTTATCTTTTTTTAAGACTAGAGACTTTCAGATGCATAGCATATACTCTAACGAAGGGAGGGAACATTGCAAACAGGTCCCACCTTTTACCCCCTTTTATTTTGTTGCTTTACTCAATCTTAAATTCTTCATTACCTTCCTTTTCTCAATTTACTCATTCATTTGGTGGATTCCAAAAAGCATCATACTACATGTTCAAGAATCTCTACTTGCATGTCTTTAGCAATTTCTGGATTATTATATTAATGGTTTTCAGGTTAATTCAACAAATTCAAAAGTTATTAAGCACTTCTTGTGCTATGAGATGTTCGTTTAGTAACTGCAGTGTAGACAAGGTGGATAGGGCATGATTCCCACTGGTACTGCCTTAGATCAGTGCAAAAAACTTCCTGCCCTAAGCTCCACAAGTCAGAGAAACTTGAATAAAAATAATTAAAGAACACACAGACAATTCTCAGCACAACTCATTATTTGAAACATTTGTTCTCATGATTAACATCATTCAGATCCTAGGAAAACTACTGCATATCTTGGCATAAGTTATTACAACAAAAAGTGATTGTATACAAATGCTTTGAAGATTTGCGGGTTCCACAATTGCCAGTGTCAGATATGTACTATTTCTGGGTAAAGAAAAAGTTTGAGAGGAAGAAGCACTTAAAAATAAAAACAAATTCATTTTTTAAATCCTTTCAGTTAATACAAATGCATTAGATTCTTACATAAAATATTGAGTGTCTTTTTTTTGTACCTCTTTGTGCTCTTATTTAATCCTTAGAGTACTCAGAAATAAGCATCTTTTATTTTTATTTTTATTTTTTATTTATTTATGTTTTTTTTTTTTTTTGAGACGGAGTCCCTCTGTCGCCCAGGCTGGAGTGCAGTGGCAAGATCTCCGCTCACTGCAAGCTCCGCCTCCCGGATTCATGCCGTTCTCCTGCCTCAGCCTCCTGAGTAGCTGGGACTACAGGCGCCCACCACCACACCCAGCTAATTTTTTGTATTTTTAGTAGAGATGGGGTTTCACCGTGTTAGCCAGGATGGTCTTGATCTCCTGACCTGGTGATGTGCCCACCTCACCCCCCCAAAGTGCTGGGATTACAGGCGTGAGCCACCGTGCCCGGCCCAGAAATAAGCATCTTTCTTTTGCAAGTGTTGCACATATTGGCTGAGGAACATTTTTCAATATTTAACCATTCATGCTACTCTTAAATCTGAATAGATGTAGCCTTAGATATAATATGTATAAAAGGTACAACTGGGTGGACATTTAATAACAGATCTGTGAATAGTTCTATTTTTATAAAAATATTTAATGGCTTAGAATGAGAATTTTATAAAATTAAATTTAACATTATATTTACATGATTTTATTAAATATTTTGATATTTTATATTTCCAATTAATTTTAGTAGAGTATTTTGAATATTTTTTAAAAACAACAAATATATAAAATAACTTTAAAACTTTTACATTTACTTTGAATTACATTTGTATTAAAATTTATTGAAGTTTTTATACTTATAATTAAATTTTTAAAATTTATTTAGATCTTTATGGACAGATATTTATTATTACCTTTATGAATAATTTTACTGAAATGAAGGCAAAAAGAATATGCTTTATAAGATAGACATATATAAAATAGTAATAATTTATGAAATATATATGTATATATAATGTGCCTGTATATTTTTGCATCCTTACATCAGCATCTTATCCACACAGTATCTAGGCATTTGCAATGACAGCTACATGTGTCTTTGATATGTTACTTACATCAGTCTTAAAAAAATAATATCTTGACTTTTTTAAAAAACATTTGGCAATAGGAAGTTAATATTTGCTAATGTAAAAGGTTAGAGTATGTATTATTTTACAGTTTGTTGTTTTGACTTATGGTTTTAAATATTAAGACATAAGGATATTTGACCCTGTGTTTGTACTTATTTTCTGAGTCCTGAATCCTATCAATGTCAGAGGCAGACCAGATTTAATCTTTCAGGAGGCTGCAATTCAGTTGAGCAGAAATAAGTATAAAACTGATCCAAGCAAGTACCTATGAAGGATTCTAATGGCATGTTCCAAAATGCCAATTATACCCAGTCAATGATGAAAAAGTAGACTAACACTAACATGACAAAATATATTACTTTCATTAGAGCATTTCTGATATTATAAGAATGAATACTAATTGTGAAAAAAATTGACAAATATAGGAAGGTATAGAGTTTTAAAAATAAAAATACCCACAATTCAGATGGATGTGGCAGGAGGATTGCTTGTGGCCAGGAGGTTGAGACTGCAGTGCACAATAGGCAATGATGGAGCCTTTGAATAGTCACTGCCTTCCTCCAGCCTGGGTAACATAGTCCCAGATGAAAAAAAAAATGCAGTTGCAAAAATATCCACAATCCTAACACCATCAAAAATATGATTTTAGGTGTAGTTTTAAAATCTTATTTAATTGTGGTTATATTCTCTGTACAAAATTTTAGTCATGTTTTCTATTTATGAAACAAAATTTTTACTTTGAAAAATGTACATGTTAAAATATTTAAAATTAGAAGTATATATCAAAAATAACAACTCAATATATTTGCTATACTTTTAAAATTTTTTAGAAGTATACTTTTAAAATATTTTTACATATACATTTACGTACTGAATCTTTCACAATTACTGAAGAAACATGACTGGTCCTAAAATTCAAGAGGACATAAAAAGGGAACTAAATGACAGGTGAGACTACATTTTAAGTGATTTATTATTATTTCCCAATTAAAATCAAAGCAACAGGATGGATCAAGTAATTCAATATGCATTTTAATTAGCAAGAAAAACATTAATTACACTTGGCTATTAAATGACTTTTATGTTGTTTTTAGCTGGTGATAACTTTGTGAGAGGCAAATAAAACAAAACAAAACTTTGGTTTAATATTTCACTGAGCCTATCAGCTGAATTGCCTAGTTTAGATATTATTTAGCAAGAGTCTGAAGATAAAAACATCATTTCATGTGTTAAGCTTCTATCAACTCAGGAAAAAGATTCCATCTGCACTCTTGATGAAGGATATATGCCAAGAGATATTTCCCAATACAAGGAAAAATAACAGCTGAAGGTAATGTTGCAAGATTAAGCCTGATATTTTAGGCTGCAGAAATGGTCAGAAATTGAATTTGTTTTAGAACTGATTACCATATAATTGATTTCTCATTCAAACAGAAAAAAAATCTGTTAATCTATTTCACATTTTTAAAATTCTTACATTGTAAATTATTATCTATCTTTTATTTATTGGCAGTATAGATTCACATATTTTATTTATTCATTTAAGAAAACATTAGTGCCATTATTTCTGATCCTATACACAACTGAAGATCTCTTTCAAGTTTATACATAAATGGAAAATAAGTTGAGTATGACTTCTGATTTTTAACATTTTCCTCTAAAATTTAATCACATTGCTCCATTGTCATCTGATGAGCAGAGACCTGAAACCAACCTGTTATTTGTTATTTTTTCTATCTCGATGCCTCTCAGATTTTTTATTTATCTTATAAATCAAAAATTTGCTAGGCTACATGGTAGTCTCTTTTCATTGATTTTTTTTTTTTTTTTTTTGTCTTAGGACATAGTAAGGGTTTGAATTTCAGTTCCCTGCTATATAAATAATGTTTTAATGATTCATTTATAATGTAGATTATTGCTTCTGCTTCAGTTCATCTCATTTCCTTCTTGGAGACATTTCTTGGAGATATCTATAATTCTGTATGTGCGACGTGGTTATATGCTGATGGAAGAGTGTTTGGTCTTCCCTTTGCCAGAAATACCACCAGCCTTCTGCTGGCCTGTCAGCTCTCTTCAGATCTTCACTCACATGTCACCCACTTAAACATGAGGTCTTCCTGGGCCTACCTGTCTAAAATTCCAACTTCCTCATGCATCTCCACATTTTTTTTAAATTTTATTATTATTATACTTTAAGTTTTAGGGTACATGTGCACAATGTGCAGGTTAGTTACATAGGTATACATGTGCCATGCTGGTGTGCTGCACCCATTAACTCGTCATTTTGCATTAGGTATATCTCCTAATGCTATCCCTGCCCCCTCCCCCCACCCCACAACAGTCCCAAGAGTGTGATGGTCCCCTTCCTGTGTCCATGTGTTCTCACTGTTCAATTCCCACCTATGAGTGAGAATATCCAGTGTTTGGTTTTTTGTTCTTGCGATAGTTTACTGAGAATGATGATTTCCAATTTCATCCATGTCCCTACAAAGGACATGAACTCATCATTTTTTATGGCTGCATAGTATTCCATGGTGTATATGTGCCACATTTTCTTAATCCAGTCTATCATTGTTGGACATTTGGGTTGGTTTTCTTAAAAGCTTTTATTTTAAATTCCGGGGTATGTGTGCAGGTTTGTTACATAAGTAAACTTGTGTCATGGGGGCCTGTTGTGCAGATTATTTCATCACCCAGGTATTAAGCCTAGTACCCATTTGTTATATTTCCTGATCTTCTGTCCCTCCTCCTACCCTCCACCCTCCAATAGACCCCAGTGTGTGTTGTTCCCCTCTGTGTTCATGTGTTATCATCATTTAGCTTCCACTTGTAAGTGGGAACATGCAGTATTTGGTTTTCTTTTCCTGTGTTAGTTTGCGAAAGATAATGGCCTCCAGCTCCATCCATGTCCCTGCAAAGGACATGATCTCGTTTCTCTTTATGGCTGCATAGTATTACATGGTGTATATGTACCACATTTCCTTTATCTAGTCTATCATTGATGGGCATTTAGGTTCACTCCATGTCTTTGCTATTGCAAATAGTGCCGCAATAAGCATATGCACGCATGTATCTGTATAGCCGAACAATGTATATTCCTTTGGACATATACCCAGTAATGGGATTTCTGGGTCAAATGGTATTTCTGTCTTTAGGTCTTTGAGGAATCGCCTCACTGTCTTCCACAATGGTTGAACTAATTTACTCTCCCACCAACAGTGTATAAGTGTTTCTTTTCCTCCGCAACCTCACCAGCATCTGTTATTATTATTATTATTTTCACTTTTGAGTAATAGCCATTCTGACTGGTGTGAGACGGTATCTCACTGTGGTTCTTACTTGCATTTCTATAATGATCAGTGATGTTGAGCTCTGTTTTCATATGATTGTTGGTCACATGTATGTCTTCTTTTGAGAAGTGTCTGTTTCTGTCCTTTGCCCACTTTTTAATGCATTTTTTTTCTTGTAAATTTGTTTAAGTTTCTTATAGATGCTGGCTATTAGACATTTGCCAGATGCATAGTTTGCAAAAATTTTCTCCCCTTTTGTAAGTTGTCTTACTCTGTAGATAGTTTCTTTTCCTGTGCAGGACCTCTTTAGTTTAATTAGATCCCATTTGTCAATTTTTGCTTTTGTTGCAATGCTTTGGCATCGTTGTCATGAAATATTTGTTTGTTCCTATGTCCAAGATAGTACTGATTAGGTTGCCTTCTGGGGTTTTTATAGTTTTATGTTTTACATTTAAATCTTTAAGCGATTTTTATTTAATTTTTGTATATGGTATAAGGAAGGGGCCTAGGTTTAATCTTCTGTATATGGCTACCCCATTAGCTCAGCACCATTTATTGACTAGGGAATCCTTTCCCCATTGTTTTTATCAGGTTTATTGAAATCAATGGTTGTAAGTGTGTGGTCTTATTTCTGTGTTCTCTATTCAGTTCCATTGGCCTCTGTGTCTTTTGTGTACCAGTACCATGCTGTTTTGGTTACTACTGCCAAAGTTTGAAGTAGTATAGTTTGAAGTAATATAGTTTGAAGTTGGGTAGTGTGATGCCTCCAGCTTTGTTCTTTTTGCTTAAGATTGCCTTAGTATTTGGGCTTTTTTGTTGTTTTTGTTCCATATTAACTCTAAATAGTTTTCTCTAGTTATGTGAAGAATGCCAATCATAGTTTAATGAGAATAGCGTTGAATCTATAAATTGCTTTGGGTAGTATGGCCATTTTAACAATAGTGATTCTTTCTATCTATGAGCATGGAATGTTTTTCCATTTTTTTGTGTGATCATTGATTTCTTTGAGCAGTGATTTGTAGCTCTTTTTGTAGACATCTTTCACTTTCCTTGTTAGCTGTATTCATAGGTATTTTATTCTTTTTCTGGAAATTGTGAATGGGTGTTTGTGACTTGGCTCTTGGCTTGACTGTTGTTGGTGAATAAGATTGCTAGCGATTTTTGCACATTGATTTTGTATCCTGAGACTGCTGAAGTTGTTTATCAGGGTAAGAAGCTTTTGGGGCTGAGACAGTGGAGCTTTCTAGATATAGGATCATGTCATCTGCAAATAGGAATAGTTTGACTTTCTCTCTTCTTATTTGAATGCGCTTTATTACTTTCTCTTGCCTGATTGCCTGGCCAGAATTTCCAATACTATGTTGAATAGGAATGGCAAGAGAGCACATCCTTGTCTTGTGCCAGTTTTCAAGGGGGATGCTTCCAGCTTGTTCCAATTCAGTATGAAGTTGCCTATTGGTTTGTCCTACATGGCTGTTATTATTTTGAAGTATGTTCCTTCAATACATAATTTATTGAGAGTTTTTAACACAAAGAGATGTTGAAATATATCAAAAGCCTTTTCTGCATCTATTGAGATAATCATGTGGTTTTTGTCTTTATTTGTATCTATTTAATGAATCACATTTATTGATTTATGGATGTTGAGCTAACCTTGCATCCTGGGGATGAAGCCTATTTGAGTGTAGTGAATAAGCTTTTTGATGTGCTGCTGGATTTGATTTGACAATTTTTTTGAGGATTTTTGTTTCAATGTTCATCAAGAATATTGGCCTGGAGTTTTTTGTTGTTGTCGTATCTCTACCAGGTTTTGGTATCAGAGTGATGCTGGTCTGGTTGAATGAGTGTGGAAGGAGTCTCTCCTTTTCAATTTTGTCAAATAGTTTCAGTAAGAATGGTATCAGCTCTTCTTTGTACATCTGGTAGAATTCAGCTGTCTGGTCCTGGGCTTTTTTGGTTGGTAAGCTATTTATTACTGCCTTAATTTCAGAACTCATTACTGGTCTGTTCAGGGATTACATTTCTTCCTGCCTCATTCTTGGGAGCGTGTATGTGTCCAGGAACTTATCCATTTCTTCTAGATTTTCTAGTTTATGGGCATAGAGGTGTTTATAATATTCTCTGATGGCTGTTTGTATTTCTGTGGGGTCATTGGTAATATTCTCCATATCATTTCTAATTGTGTTAATTTGAATCTTCTCTCTTCTTTTTTAGTCTAGCTAGTGGTCGTTGTATTATTCTGTTTTCATGCTACTAATAAAGATATATTTGAGTCAGGGTAATTTATACAGGAAAAAGGTTTAATGGACTTACAGTTTCACATGGCTGGGGAAGCCTCACACTCATGTTGGAAGGCCAGGAGGAGTAAGTCACATCTTACGTGATGGCAGCGGGCAAAAAGAGAGAGCTTGTGCAGGGAAACTCCACCTCATAGAACCATCAGATCTCCTGAGACTTATTCAGTATTACGAGAACAGTACAGAAAAAAACCTGCCTCCATGATTCAATTTCTTCCCACCAGGTCCCTCTCACAACATGTGGGAATTCATGATGAGATCTGGGTGGAGACACAGCCAAACCATATCAACTATTTTATTAGTTTTTGCAAAAAAAACGGCTCCTGAGTTTGTTGAGCCTTTGAATGGTTATTTTTGTGTATGTGTGTGCCCCTGTCTCCTTCAGTTCAGCTCTGATTTTGGTTATTTCTTGTCTTCTGCTAGCTTTGGGATTTGTTTGCAAGTGGTTCTCTAGTTCTTTTAGTTGTGGCATTAGGTTGTTAACTTGAGATCTTTCTAACTTTTTGATGTGGATATTTAGTACTACAGATTTCCCTCGTAATACCACCTTAGCTGTGTCCTAGAGATCCTGGTACATTGTGTCTTGGCTCTTATTAGTTTCAAAGAACTTCTTGATTTCTGCTGTAATTTCATTATTTATCCAAAAGTCGTTCAGGAGCAGCTTATTCAATTTCCATGTAATTGTATTTTCTATTCCTTTTCCTTGTTCCATTTTTATCACTACTTGGCATATTAAATGCTTTACTTATTTATCTGCCTTTTCCCACTAAAATGTTAATTTATGAGGGCAAGAATTTTTGTCTTTTCATTTCTTTTTTAAAAATTTTTTGTCTTATTTTTCTGTCTCTTGTATCTATTTTAAAATCTATTATTTAAAAATCTCTATTGATTGGAAATATATGTAGTCAATGAGTGTATGCTAATAAATGAAATTGTGAGGAAGGGTTATGCATGTATGTATTGTGAGTGGGGATTAATGAGAAGGTAACTTACTTAGTTTGATGCTCATTTTTTACTAGGCACTTCGTGTTTGCAGTCTTGTTAAATTTTCACAACGATCCACTGAGATTTATATGGTCTTTGGCATTTGTTAGATATTTATCAAGGAGATGTTCCAGAGTTCTCATATCTAGTAGAGAAGTTGAACTGTTAAATCTTTTTTATATTACAGGACTGATTTGTTGCAAGTGAAAGCTTACTAGAACACTTGAGAAATGTTTTGGTGAATAAATAGGAGTCTCTTAATTGGATGGAATGACACTGGCATTTCAGGGAGAGAAAAGGGCATGGAAAGGCAGAAGTCTAAAATACCAAGGTTTCAAATCCCAGGGGAAATGTGGAAAAATAATACAGATATGATACCACAGAATATTGATCTAATATTTTAAGTAATCTCAGACTTTTATTTTTATTTCTTTAACATACTTTCCTATAATTGGTCATAACTTGGATTTATTTTAGGAAATATCATTGGATAGGGGGATAATTAACAATTATGGCATTGTTCCTTGGAGAAAATAGCATTACCTAATAATATTGACTTTGGGTATAGTTTCCATGTATTAAATGAAGCTAAAAGTAGAGACTGTCCATGTGTAATGTAGAATTTTATTAACAATTAGAACATTTTTTATTTAAAATACCCATGATAAGGATTTTTTTTAATTAGAGCTGAGACCCATAACTCTGTTTAAAATAAAACCCTTTCATTGATTACATGCAAGGAATGGACTTAAAGAGATGAATCACTGTTGCCTGGCCACAAGAAATGCACGTTCTTATGTGATCTCTTCCCTGCTTAGTTACCCAGTTAACCATTAAATCCACTTTTTCTTCCTTTGGTTATTTGTGTATTTGTGCCTGCTGTCTCTCTAAATGGATTGATTTTTCACTCCTTGACATGTTTTTACCTCCTCCTCCTTCTCCTCCTCCTTCTTCTCTCTTCTTCTCCTCCTCCTTCTCCTTCTTCTCCTTCTTCCTTCTTTTCTCCTTCCTTCCTCCTCCTCCTCTTCTTCCTCCCCCTCCTCCTTCTTCTTCACCTCCTCCTCCTTCTTCCTTATTTTTTGCCCAAAATGTATGTTCTACTTTATATCCCCCCACCCGCAATTCCTAGTAGTAGTTTTCTAAACTGATCACATTCCTGTCACTTCCTAAAAGGAAAATCAAAAAATTTTTATAATATTTGAAACATTTCTCAGTATACAATTTGAAAATATTTTAAAGCTATGCCAAAAATGATTAAATAGTCAGAACCTCTTTCAACCAAAAGGGTATCAAATACATGTTGTTACTTTCTTTTAGTAACGTTAATGTGGTGTTTCATAATATATATTGGTCTTGCCACTGTTTGTTACATTGTGCATTGGACTTTTAAAAATGTTATCTATCATACTGTTCATCTGTTTTATTTAGCATTATTAAGGTCTAGGGAGATTAAGCTGTTTACCACTCTTTTCTAAGCAGTTAGTAGAGGATGTGGAACTTCTGTCTCCTATCAAGGACTTTTTATTCCAAATCATGTTATCTCATCCTAGGTATAGGATATTTGGTAGGTGTATCATTTTTAGAGTGGTAGATTTATCTGGATTTCCAATTATTTTAGCATATCTTCTAAGAAAACTAAAAACATTTTTCTAACAATTATGCTGTGGCAAATATCTATGGTTCTCATTTGGCTGGATGTCTTAGGACTGGACTTACACTGACGAATATTTAATCATCTGTCAGCCTTCTGTTGGTGACTTTGTGCTAATCAATATCCAAGCATGCACTTACGCCCTCTGTATTCAGTTCATCTTCTAGCATGGGCCTGATTCTATTTAGATTGGCTTTGAATGTATTCTACTCTCCAATCCTGTTATTACTATTATATATTTCTTATTACTGTAGTTTTTGGAATTCTCCTTATCTTCCTCTCAGACTTCCAACTATAATGCTGATTCAAGATGCCTAAAAACATTCTGATTATATCCACAAAGAAAACTCTAGTTGCACAGAGATGTAAATCATCAATTAATATTTAAGTTTACAGTACTGACAAAAACTGTAGAGATCTTCCAATCCAGGGGAAAACAATCTAGGCATCACTGAGCCTCTATGAGGACCTACTGCAAGGTCAAAACTACTTTCTTAGTAATATTAAGATGATGTTATTTTCTTATTAACTTTCATTCTCATAGGAGTATACTCCCATTAGAAATTTTCCAGAGGTTACTGATTGATCCAGCTGCTTTTATTAACCCAATAAAGATGTTTGAAAAAATGTGTTTATGAATTTGTATTAAAATAAAAAAGTCAACCCATTTCATGTTAACATTAAAAATTGTTTATAAGAATGAAACAAAATTATTCTTTTTCATAACAAAAAAATTATTGAAAGTCATGACATTATTTTGCAATTTTGCAAATTTTTTATTGGTGTAAGCTAAACAACTCATGATAAGCTAACTAACCATGCTAAGCCTACTATTTCTAAATTGGGTATCAAAATAGTACTAACTAAACGTGAAATAAATGTTTATTATTATTAAGATTCAGGATATTTATATTTTGTTTTCTTTTAGAAAATCTGAATGCATTTTATACACAACAAAGTTTTGTAAGAATATTTTAGCTGATTCTTATTAGTATGCAATAGTCTGTATATACCCCAAATGAAATAAAAATACATAATTTCCAGAATCAATATTCCAGATACCATGTTAAGTTTTCTACTTTTTCCGTGCCTAGGGATGGCACTGCTTTATCTCGTGGCTTTATTGTTCTGGTAGTAAAACCAAACAATTATATTAGTTTAAACATTTATCAATATTTTGAAAATATTTTAAAGCTATGCCAAAAGTAATGATAAAATAATCAGGACCTTGTCCAAAAATGAGGGTATCAAATATACTTTGTTATACTTTATTTTTGCAACATTAATCAGGTGTTTCATAATGTCTTTATTTCATGACTCTCTATTTTCCAGGTTTGTTTGCAAAGTTACAGAAAATTATTTGTCTATCACCACACTAAAGAAAATAATATTTGTAGTACACAGGATCTGCTCAGTTACAGAACAACTCATAGATAAGCAAAGAATGAAATATTGGTTAGTTGAATAAAATATTTAAGATGATTCTCCACACTTTCTTTAAAGATTTCTCTTTTTCATGTTTTTTCAAGACTTCATAGTGTGATTACCTTGAATAATTGTATTTGAGTCTCTTGTCTCTTCTTTCTCTTTTTTTTTTTATTTTTTTATTTTGAGATGGAGTCTCACCCTGTTGCCCAGGCTGGAGTGCATTGGTGGGCTCTTGGCTCACTGCAAGCTCCGCCTCCCGGGTTCAAGTGATTCTCCTGCCTCAGCCTCCCGAGTAGCTAGGATTACAGGTGCCCGCCACCATGCCTGGCTAAATTTTTCTGGCTTTAGTAGAGACATGTTCACCATGTTGGCCAGGCTGGTCTCGAACTCCTGACCTTAGGTTATCTGCCTGCCTCAGCCTCCCAAAATGCTGGGATTACATGTGTAAGCCACCAGGCCTGGCCCTGAATCTCTTCTTAAAGAGAGAGGTGTATCCTGTGATATCAACCTACAGCAACTAGCTTCAGTTTCCAATGCTATTAGAAGATGGACTCTATGAAAAATCAGAAATCCTGAATATATAATTCAGGAAAGTTTATATTAACAAAGATAAGATGGAACATGTAAATATATACTATACTTTCAGGTGGGGAGAAGATTCTTGGCCTTGGATTTATCTTCTATAATATAGATATTCTCTACATATGAAAAAAGATTCAAGATTTAACTCAAAATAAATAAATACATTTTAAGCAATGACAATTAACAATTTTGTGGCTTCACTAACTTTTATATGCAAAGTTAATATAAATCCACCAATTGCTCTAGACCTCCTATCAAATATGTGGTATCATATTCTTCATGATAGTAGAGAGATAGATAGAGGTCGTGTATCATTATACTGTATTTCATTTGGGACAGTGACTGCTTTCAGTTGAGGGCACTTAAGAATAGTTCAAATCCAGACAGACAAATGGCAGTTTGGTTGGCAATGGAGTTAAATTTCTGATCCTTTCATTAATGTCCTAACAAATGTAAGGCATGGCAGCCTAAAGTATATATTATTCACAGTAATTTCAGGAAAACGAATGCGTGTGAATCAAATCTGTGACTAACTCATTCCATGAGGTGAATGTACAAAGAAAAAAGTAACTACTTTATTTTTGCAACATCTAATTTGTGAATTTTTCTTCCGAATCCCATTCTCTGAATAGGGTGCCTTGCAGGGGCAGGGGTTGAGAGTGACTATTCTAATGATTCTATTAGAAACAATTAAAATACGTAAACCTTACTTTAGTATTTGTTTATTTTTGGACTAAAAGAATAGTTTCTCAAATAAATTTTCTTCTCTTACACTACCATCATCTTATATGAGCACGGATATTGAGGTGTTTATCTCTTTCTAAATTTGAGGATAAAGGGACTTCTTGCTGGTTCTCCAGTGCGTAAAGACAGACACGTGCTGCTCTCCAGGGAAACATTTTTTTTTTTCTTCTGCTTACAACACACCCTTCAGGTAGATTCACGTGATCTTTTTTTGATATGCATATACAGGGACTCTCAGCCTGCTCAATGCTGACTCAACTTCTCTTCAGCTTTCTTGAGCTATCAGCTACCATGATCCATCCTGCAGTCTGAAAGAAGTCCCCTCACTACATCGTGATATATATCATGGTGGTTCCTCTGGTTTTCAATTTACTTCCAATCCATATTTGAAATTAAATCATCCTGGAAAGATAAATCCCAAAGCCTCCTTTCCCGTGATCACATTTTGCTCTTGACTATTTATAAGATATACTGCAAAGTTCCCTCCTGCCAGTGGTTGAAATAGGTAGTTGCGGGGGAGCCTTGCTGTTGATGCTCTTTTACAACAAAATATTTCTTCTTCTTTTTATAATTTTCCAGGATTCAAAAATGGGTGAAATTTTCCTTTACTTCAAAATTGTTGCCTCTTTCTTCCTGAGTCAAGTTAGGTCATAATGGTGAACACAGAAAAAGGTTTTTAAAGAATGACTCTGCAGGCCTGTCCTTGGTGTGTTACATCAGAACTAAAAAACAAATTCAGGTTAATTCTTTCTTAAGACAGTAGCCAGGCTTGCAATTTCCATATGTATGTCTGCATTCATGTTACAAAACAAAACAGAACAGAACAAAACAAAACAAAACAGTATAAAAGAAAGACAAAATAGAAATATCTCAAGATACTTAGCCCCTGGATGATGAGATAATAGATCATGGTAAGTATAGATTGTGTGTATATATTATGTATTTACTCATTATACACACACACACACACACACACACATGCATGCACACAGACACATGTATA
The DNA here is from genome assembly GCF_000001405.40 of Homo sapiens. Classification (NCBI taxonomy): domain Eukaryota; kingdom Metazoa; phylum Chordata; class Mammalia; order Primates; family Hominidae; genus Homo; species Homo sapiens. The sequence continues at coordinate 165,284,300 of NC_000003.12, forward strand.
CCTCTTTTTTATTTTTCATACTTTGCATTAATTTTGTGGTCAGAAAAAATGACTTTAAAACATCTCTTTGTTTTTAGAAATACCACTAAGGTGATTTTTTCCAGAATCCCTCTAATGCCGATAACATAGAAAAGAAAATGGAACAAAGAAAAAATAAGATATGATGAGGATTATTCGGTCATAGTTGAGAAGAACATTTTTATGACAAAACAATAACTTACGGATGTAAGTTATGAACATTACTGTGTATGACATTTTTTAAAAATGTGTTATTTTTTTCTCTCCACAACATGGTAATGCCTGATTGAAGCACTATAGCAGTTAGCTGACCTTATATAACAGTGGGATTGTTTATATGAACAAGACATAAGAAACTTATTTAAGTGGAGCAAAAAAAGATAAACTTTAATCAGAACACAAGAGATTTTTTTTCAGCATCTTTCTAAAATCCTTTTATAATCTCTAAATAAAGGGAATGGACCAATGATCTCTCAGGCCCTTTCCTAAAATGTTATGTGATAGCATAAAACCCGACTTCCTAATAAAGGATAATGCTGCATTGAATCAGGCCAAAGCGATTTACTGATACAAAAATATGAGAAACCCCTATTAATCAGCAGAGTAAGGGAGTTTATGACTGGCTTATGGCTTATTTTCTTTTTTTCAGAATAACAAAAACAAAGTAGAATTGAATCTGAGTTAAAATAATGATGTTAAAATAATATTGTCAACATGAAACCAAAGCTTTCAGTATTTCAATTTTAACGTAAGATTAAATTGCACATTTGGATAACATGTGTTTGCTTATATTTATGAAATTAGGTTTTAAATATAATCAATGCTAGGAGCAAATTTTTTCATTGTTTTATTTTTCCATATCTCATAGCATTCATTAGGGTGAACTAGGTGGAGCTTGATAGCTCTAGTTTATTGCAATGACACTTTATTTATCAGGAAGCACATTTTCTGGCTGACTCAAATGTCTACAACCCTGCCATAAACCCCAAATATGCGGGAAATTGTCCTTAAACCATTTTATATCCTAGTTGCATACACACACACATTGTGTTGATGAGTAAACTTATATACAGTATATGTAATATAAATGTTAATATGTTATATAGTATTAGATATAACATTTGTTTATATTTATATGTATGAAACTTAATGCTCATTTGTTTGGAAGAAATGATCTAAAATCCATAATTCACTCAAAGTTGTTAGTCCTCAGTAAAGGATAGATGTGGAAAAAAAAAGAAAAAGTGGGTTGGGTAAGATATTTTACAAGCAAAAAATAAAAGGAGATGACAGGCTGATAATAAGAAAGGGGTGGATGACTATAAAAAAACAAACACAAAAGCAAAAAGCTTATTGACTTGAGGGCACTGAAATATACAAGAAAATCATTCTTATATACCTACCTTAATGCCAAATGAGGAATTGTTGCATTAAACCTTAGTATAATAATTGAGGACCATAATGATGCTGATTAAGAAACCATTGAAGTTTATAATATTTTTAAAGGTTCTCTCAGATATTATTAAATAATCTCACCTTTAGCTCGTAGATGGATATTTGTCAATTGTCTGAAAGATACACTTCTGTTGAACGAGCTCATGATTTTGTAACAAATTATAAATAATGCTGTATTATAGTGCTTTTGAAGTGCATTCCCATCAATACAGAGGCAGAATTATCTATTAGGTTCCATAGAGTCAGCTGAAGTTGGTTTAAAGGTTTTTTTTATATTTAAAATTATTTGTTATTGTTTATTTTTAGTAAGAGAGAAGATTTTAAAATTCTGAGAATATCTCTTTGGATGGTAGTTGTTTTGTAATCTAAAAGATCATTTAAAAATCCTGCAATTTGTAACCCCTTGTTGGATCATAGCTACTGTAAGTTTGTAATTCAAAAGTGATAGCTATAAGAGAATCAGGAAAAGTATATTACAAAAACTTTGCTGTAATTATTATACACTTTTGCATATATTCTAAAAAAAGAAAAAACGCAAATATTTAAATAAGTAAAGGATTCTGTTTAATTATTTTTCCCTTTTATATGGAGAACTGTTAGGAACAGACTTAGGTGCTGAGAAGGGGCAGGAACACTTTTATAAGAAGTTGTATGAAGCTGATTGGTAGATCCAGACAGCTTTTTGTTGAGTGACGCAAAAATTTAGATCAAGTATGGACAGCTGTAAATAGTAGCTAGAGGACATTTGGCAGCCAAGGAATGGTGCTAAACATTGGCTATGGAACCAATAGTATTGAGTAATTAGCAATAACAGAGAAGGTAAATGAGAAAACTATCAGAAATTTAGGGGCAATTCATGGGATATTTGGAAAATGTGCTGAATATGTATAAAGGAACTGGAATGAAATAAAAAGTTTCTTCTGAGACCTATACTTCTGAGTGCCTAGCAGAACATATTTGAATAAAAATATCATGCAATTTAAGTTTTAAAAACTTTACTTTGCTCACAATGACTTTTTGCAATACCTGAAAATATGATTCCAATATGGAATATAATAATGTAATCTTTCTTGGTATTATTAACAAAATATACTAATGATGCCTTCAAATATTAGTTCCAGGGTATTAATTCAGTAAGGCAGTTTGCCAGGGCATAATTAAAAAGTCAAATTCTAATTGTTGCAATAGGGACCCTCTTAATAGTGCCATAATTAGAATCACCATTTTCTTATAATCTGGCAAATTCTGTCATTCATTAATAAAAATAGTATTTTAATTTAATTATACAAATGACTTTTTTTCATAGTTACATTCCTTCATATAGAGTAATGATTCTCTTCATTTTAAAAAACATATGTAAGTTTCTGTTTTTTCAACTTAAAATCCCAAACCTAGACTTTATGCACACTATTGTACATTCACAATAGCAGAAAATTGGCAATTGTTGGGCTAGTTCAATGTTTCCTTCCAATTTATCCATTACCTAACAATAATGCTATTGCATCGTCCTTTTGTTTCATCTATTTCTAATTATTTGAATAACTAGACTGTAAACTCCATGACTATGTTTTAAAATTAGCTAGGACTATGTTTTAAAATTAATCATATAGCAGAGAACTTGGCATGTAGTAGATATTCATTATATACTTATCTAGTGATTAAAAGAATGAATGAATGAGTGGGTTTTCCCTTCTTTTCCCAATTCATTTGGCTGAAACTTGAGTACTCTGCCTAATTCTATTCACTGCCATTCCTGACTGGTTCCTGAAAGCTAATGCTGACTGAAACAACATATCCCAGAATAATGACTTCTCATTTCACCATAATGATCTATTTTCCTGAGTAATAATTCTAGAACCCTTCACTTGTACAGTTAAAATAGTTGGTTTGACTCTTCAAATACTAAGACCTATAGTTAAATTTCTTCCCCATAGCTGAGTTAGAGTATGTAGTTTAACAAATTTAAGCTGTTTTACAAATATTGATTGGTTGATTAGATTTTTCAGAGTTTGGTACTGTTTGTCCTCCGTGCCTTGTGGGTAGTGATCATGTTTGGATTAAGTAATCTTATGCAACATTTTAAACAACTTCTTGCATGAGTTTGATAAATTGATCCACATGTATTTATATTGATTCATTTAAAATTAATTGTAATTATTTCTCTCCTTCAAATAATGAACTTTTAAGGTTTGTAGTCATCTTTGTATCAGATAAATATAGTCCTCAGTATATATTACACATAACTATTATTTTAAAAATTTTAGTTGTTCATTCATTCGTTTATATATATATTTATTCATTTATAAATATTTACAAAACAGCCAGTATATAAAAGATTCCACATAAGGTAGAATGGTAAAAACAGTAATAGCTACAACAGTATGAACTCTGACTAGATGATTTTACAGCTTAGTAGAGGATGTAAATAATATAATCTAGTATAATACTGAATATAAAAGTCATAAAAAATGTGAATGCCACAAATTTCAGAATTCAAGGATCTGGTCTTATTCATTTGTCTCCTTATTTCCTAGCATAAAGTCTAATTCTTTTATTAAAGAATTAGTTTGTATTGTTTTTATTTATTTGTGTTGTTTTTCAGTTATATTTTTAAAAACCATATGTTACATAACTTACCAAATAAGACACAATTATTCAACCTTTTAAAGATGGAAAAAAAGGCTTACCCTTTCTATTGCTGATGAAGCCTTTCTGGACTCACCTATTAACCATTACACCAATTAAAGCTCATATTATATTCTTACACTGCACATTTCTTCTATGCATAAATGAAAATAAATGTGCTCTAGGGTTTACAATCTAGGCATGTATGCTGAGGTTGATCATCAACAGCTCAGTATTGTTGTAGTCTTGTCATTAATATATGGATAGTTTCTGCTTTAGTGGTCACGGTCTTTTATTCCTGCTTTGGCCTTTTTTAAAAAGTCACATAAGATTTATTTTCCTAAAGTTTTAAATATCTATTTATACATCTTTATTTTTCTTCTCACCTGGTAGAGATTTTGAAAACATCACCACTCTTTCACCTTTTGGCTTCTGAATCAGAAACTTTTCTTTTCTCTTTGCAACAAACTCATGACTTTTATGTTGAAATCCTCACAATTTTCCCCAAAAGATACTTTAACCCCCAATGTTGATGTTAGAGTAAATGAGGCTATTTACATGAAACTAGCAATACAGAGGTCATAACAAATGCATGAAACCCTTCTAGCATTTTTTAAAATGGGAAACTGGTTTCAAATATCTAGGTCCTTGTGATCTCTGGTGCCAGTTTCAAGCAAACAAGCAATGTTGGTATAAAGGGACTTACTATAAAGAAAGTACCAAAAAATTTCCTGTAAATACATCTAAACCTCTGTCATCTGAAACATAGAAAACCATAAAAGCATTCTATGGTCTAAATCAACAAGTATTACAAATAAAATCCTCATATATTCAAAGTATAATAGTAATAATTATAAGAAATAAGGTGTATTTACTGTTGTCCTAAATATTACCACAATTCTTTTTTTCCTCTGGAAAGGATATTTATTAAAACACATATTTTATAAAAATATAGTCATTTCTTTTTTCCTTTTGTTTTTAACTGACATTGATTCTATTTTCCATTAATTAATTTTTAAAAAAACTTTTACTTTAGATTCAGGGGGGTACATGTGCATGTTTTTTACCTGGGTATATTATGTGATGTCAAGTTTTGGGTACAAATGGTCCTGTCACCCAGGTAGTGAGCATAGTATCCAACAGTTAGTTTTTCAGCCCCTGCATTCCTCCAACAAATTTACTAAGACTAACAGAGAAACAAGGTTTTTAAAAGGGTTAATGGATGAAATAGAATAACTTCTCATGTTTTTAAGATGTTAGAGTCCTATTTGTAAAACAAGAAAGCTGCTACCTCCCCACTCTAGTAGTCACCAGTGTCTATTATTGGCATGTTTATGTTCATGAATATCCAGTGTATAGCTCCCACTTGTAAGTAAGAACATGAGGTATTTTTCTTTCTGTTTTCATATTAATTCGCTTAGTAATGGCCTCCAGTGGTATCCATGTTGCTGCAAAGGACATGATTTCATTCATTTTTATGGCTCTGTAGTATTCCATGGTATATATGTGCCATATTTTCTTTATCCAGTCCACAATTGATGGAAACGAAGTTGATTGCATGTCTTTGCTATTGTGAATAGTGCTGCGATGAATATAGATGTGCATGTGTTTTTATAATAGAACAATTTATATTCCTTTGGGTATAAACCCAGTAATGAGAATGCCGGATCAAATGGTATTTCTGTCTTTAAGTCTTTGAGAGATCGCCACAGTCTTCCACAATGACCGAACTGATTTACATTCCCACCAACAGTGTAAAAGCAGTCCTTTTTCTCTACAATCTCACAGCCATCTCTTGTTTTTTTGACTTTTTAATAATAGTCAAAAAATAGTCTGATTGGTGTGAGATAATATATCATTGTGGTCTTGATTTGCATTTCTCTAATGATCAGTGGTGATGACCATTTTTTCATTTGTTGGCTGTTGATATGTTGCCTTTTGAGAAGTGTCTGTTCATGTCTTTTACTTATTTTTAAATGGGGCCATTTGTTTTAAGCTTGTTCAATTGTTTAAGTTACTTATAGATTCTGAATATTATACATTTGTTGGATACATAGTTTACAAATATTTTCTCACCTTCTGTGTGTTGTCTGTTTGTTGATAGTTTCTGTTTCTGTGCAGAAGATCTTTAGTTTAATTAGGTCCCACTGGCCAATTTTTATTTTTCTTGCAATTCCTTTTGACAGCTTAACCATAAATTCTCTCCCAAGCTCAATGTCCAGAATGATGTTTTCTGGATTTTCTTCTAGGATTCTTATGGTTTGAGATCTTACATTTAACTCTTTAACCCATCTTGGGTTAATTTTCATGTAGGGTGAAAGGTAGGAGTCCAGTTTCATTCTTCTGCACATGGCTAGCCAGTTATCTCAGCCCCATTAATTAAATATGGATTCTTTTTCCCATTGCTTATTTTTGTCAACTTTGTTGTATATTAGAAGGCTATAGATTTGTGGCATTATTTCTGGTTCTCTTGTTCTCGATTCTGTTCTATTGGTTTATACATCTGTTTTTGTACCAGTACCATGCTGTTTTGTTTATTGTAGGCTTATAGTATAGTTTGAAGTCAGCTAACATGATGCCCCTGGCTTTGTTCTTTTTACTTAGGATTGCTTTGGCTGTGTGGACCCTCTTTGGGTTCCATAGGAATTTTAGAATCGTTTTTTCAATTCTGTGAAAAATGACAGTGGTAGTTTGGTAGGAATAGTGTTGAATCTGGAGATTGCTTTAGGCAATGTGGCCATTTTAATGACATTTATTCTTCAGATCCATGAGCATGGAATGTTTTCAATTTTTGTGTGTGTTATTTATGGTTTATTTTAGCAGTGTTTTGTAGATCTCCTCGTAGATATTTTTAACCTCCTTGGTTAGATGTAGTCCCAGTATTTTTGTGGCTATTGTAAATGGGATTGCATTCTTAATTTAGCCCTCAGCTTGAATGTTATTGGCATATAGAAATACTACTGATTATTGTACATTGATTATCAGTTCCAGGAACTTTTTGGCAGAATTTTAGGGTTTTCTAGGTTTAGAATTATATCAGCCATGGAGAGAGACAGTTTGATTTCTTTTCCTATTTGGATGCCTTTTATTTATTCCTCCTGCCTGATTGCTCTGGCTAGTAATTTCATTACTATATTGGTTACAAGTGGTGAGAGAGGGCATCCTTGTCTTGTTCTAGTTCTCAAGAAGAATGCTTTCAATTTTTACTGTTCAGTATAAGGATGGTCATTTCTGTATTTAGTTTTTCATGTTTTGTTTTCATTCTATATGTGTTTTTTTTTTATTTCTTTTCTCAGTAAGTCACTAAAATCCAGCAGGAACAGATTCACTAAAATTAACAGAGAAATGAAGTTAGATTTAAAAAGTTATCAGTGAATGAAACCGAATATTTTTAAAAAATATTTTTAGGATGTTAGAGTCATATTTGTAAGATAAGAAAGCTGCTATAAAAAAGCAATCAGAACATTAAAAAGTTACAAATTAAAAGTGTAGTTACTACAATAAAACATACACCTAATGTAAGAGATAGTTAAGGAAACAAAAACAGCAGATTAAAAAAATAGTCATCTAGAAAAAAGAGTGTACCCCACATCATTTTTTTTATTTTTGTGGCAACTACGATAAGTTAACTAAAAATTTTCCTAAAATTAGAATTCATGTGACATACTCTTCAAAGGCAATAGATATGTAAAATACTTAGAAAAATATTAAACCATTTAAGTATTTTTTAACTTCCAAAGTAAGCTTGAATTAAAGAGAAAACAAAGCTAAAGTTACAGAATATTTAAAATAAAAATATTTTAAGAATGCAACTAATCAAAACATATAAAGTAAGGTCTGAGCAGGGTTCCAGAGAAAACTTTTTTCAATATTTTCATTATAGAAGAAGAGACTAAAATATGTGAATCAAGCATTCAACAACTACAACAACAGAAAGAGAAAGAGAAGAGTGAATGAAATTAAAGAAAATTGTTGGATTCGTATGAAGAAATCAACAACTTTCTTCTGTTTAATGGAAAAAAAAATTAAGGTTTAAAAAAAGAATATTCCCATAGCAATAAAAACTGTAGAATTATTAAATTTTATCCAAATATACAAGACTTTTATAAAGAAAATTATAGTTTGTTACTTTCAGTCAAATTAAAGACCAGAATCAATAGATATGAGTATCTGAATGAAAAGAGTCAATAATGTGAAGTGTTGTAGTGTAAAGTGGTGTAGTCAATACTGTGAAGTGGTATAGTGAGCACTATGATGTATCATCCAGATTCTTCTTCAATGAAAGTGTCATTGCCACAGCTGCCACAAATGCTATGGAAAGACCACCTTAAGCTGTCACCCCCTTTAGAAGTTGCCATAGGTGAAAAAAAGCCTCTTTGCCCAAAACTATGTCCTTTTCCTAGTCCCTTACACTCAGTGACCAACTGATGAAGTAACTTAATCTTTTCAGCCCATCTCAGGACAAAACTGACTTGACATTCCAAGTCCAGAGTTTTCAATCTGTTGGCTGAGGCTGTCACTAGATCTGCAGTACCTCATCTTCCTCCTCTGACCACTAAAGCTTTCATTTAGCTTCTTTTGCACAAAGATCTTCCTAATAAACATTGTGCACGCTGTCTCTGTGTCCAAGTCTCTTTCCCAGATAACCTAGTCCCTGATGGTTATCACTTCCTGTGAGGAATTTAACTTCTTCATTTTCATCAGTGAGTCAAAGAAACTGAAGAAATCAAATTCCAAAAGGAATTGGTATGGGAGTGGGTTTACATGCTACATTTAAAGTTTGTTTATTTGGAAGATTTATATGTTAAACTTTTGAAGAAAAAAAGTATTGGGGTGGAGAAGAGTAACACTTTAAAACCAAACATAAAAAATTCTTGAAAATTACAGTAGCTGAAACAGATACCAACACTGTAGATAGACAAATAGGTAAATGAAAGAATCCAAAATCTTATCTATTGTATTGCTGAATATAACATATGATGATTTATGACTTGAAAAGAAAAAGATGGACTATTTAATAAAGGTGTTGGGGAAAATATCTATACATATGGGGAAAAAAAGCTTTCTGGAAATTTTCTCAAATCGTACCCCAAATGAATTGCTAGATGGATTCAAAGACATAACAATATTCAGCTTGGCAACATAGTGAGATCTTGTCTCTATGCAAAAATTTGATAAATAAAAAAGTTAGATAGTTGTGGTGGTACCCATCTCTAGTTATATCTACTCAGATGTCAGGCAGGAAGATTGCCTAATTCCAGATGCTGGTGGTTAGAGTGTGCTATGATCATGCCGCTACATGCACCAGCCTGGGTGATAGAGCAAGACAGAAAGAAGGAAGAAAGGAGGGAGAGAGGGAGAGAAGGAGGGAGAAGGGAAGGGAAGAGAGAAAGAAAGAAAGAGAAAGAAGGAAGAAAAAGAAAGAAAGAAAGAAGGAGAGAGAGAAAGAAAAAGAAAGAAAGGAAAGAAAGAGGGGGGAGGGAGGGAGGAGAGAGGGAGGGAGGGGGGAGGAAGGGAAGAGAAGGGAAGGGAAGGAAGGGGAAGGGAAGGGAATGGAAGGGAATGGAAGGGAAGGGAAGGAAAGGGAAGGCAGGGGAGGGGAAGGAAGGGGAGGGGAGGGAAGGGAGAGGAGAAAGAAAGAGAGAGAGAGAAGGAACGAGAAAGAAAGAAAGAAAAGGAAGGAAGGAGAGAGGGAGAGAGGGAGGGAGGGAGAGGGAAAGAAGGAAGGAAGGAAGGAAACTAAAAAAGATGTAGGAATTTAAAGCAACTATAAAATATGGAAGAATTTTTACAAATAATATTATGGAGAAATCTTTCCAAAAAATAAGATAGCAGTGTTAGAACTCTAAAAGATAAAAATTTAAATTTAAGTTTAATCAAATTTAAGACTTATGATTGCCAAAGAAAACCATAACTTCCACAAGCATGAAGAGATAAAGCACAGAAATTAGAAAATGTTTTTAAATCTTATAATAGATAAGTGATTTGCTTCCTTAAAATACAAAGCCCTTCAACAAATCAGTCTACCAACATTATTCATTTTTTCTTGTCTGTCATAGGAAATTCATAGCATTTACAACTTTAATTGTGAATTTAAATCTCTATTAAATCCACAATAAATGTGTATAATTTCTGTGCATCTTTCCATCTGCACTCCAGTTGGTATTTATTTCTTAGTGGACCTGGGTACTCCATACAAAAATCTGAAATATAACCCGCATGTTTAGCCAGTGAATAATGGGCCATAAAGTTATTTTACCCAAGTCCAAATTTACTGATTTATCCAGGAGCTTCTTGAAGATATTACGCTAGGAACCAGGATTACTTTCCACAAGGCCTTCTAGATACTTATTCTCAAGCCAGTATTTTGACATTCATCTGACAGTTTCTGAAGGCTGCTTTTGGGAAAATTTGTGCCTCCAGCACAGCTGGATGCTAGTATATCGGTTTCGGTAACCCTTATCTAGGTAGCAATAGCCTTATAGATATAGAAATTGAGGAGTCAGCCATTGAAGGATTTTTAAGGAAATACTAAGTGAGCTTCTGTTTGCTTTTTAGGAAGGCTAACCAGCAGTCCCTGAAACACACAGGAAAAGCTACACAATTTTTGAGATCACATCTTTATTTACATTACTGCACTCTTTGTCTTTCTGTTTTACCTGAAACTCTGGAATCAACTGCATTTCCAGAATATATTCTTTATTAACAATTCTTTCTTATTTTTAATTTTTGTGGGTGTATATATGTATGGGATACATGAGATGTTTTGATACAGTCTTGCAATATGAAATAAGCACATCATGGAGAATGGGGTATCCATCCCCTCAAGCATTTATTCTTTGAGTTACAAACAATCCAATTGCACTCTTTTATTTTAAAATGTATAAGTAAGTTATTATTGACTACAGAATATATTCTCATAAAGCATATACCTATGACACACAGTCCACTATTCCGTATTTTAGCACAGTCTTGCCTAAAAGAGCAGGAATCTAGGCACTTGATGTTAATGTTGCTGACCTGACACTCATTTATTGCCCTTTGGCATACCCCCAGGCCCAATTTGAAGCCTGTGATTAATATATAAACAGCTTCTGTTGCTGTTGACATTGAATTTTTTCTTGGCCTCCTTATCTAGCCATTTGCTTTAAGCAACACATTCTTGTTACAACCTGTTAGTCCCATTATTTTTCTTAGTATAAATTATTAATGTGCTGTTAGACTAAAGTACTGTATCTGAACACTGATTATGCAGGACTGACACCATACTAAAACCTGTGAAAGAATAATAACTAATATTTGTTGAATGCCAACTGCCATATGACACTGTACTAAGACCTTTGTATTTACCTATATTATTACATTTAATCTTCATAAAACCTATACAATGCGTATTAATAGCTTTGTTTACAGATCATGAAACTAAGGACAGAATTCAAATGACTTAGGCAAAGTTACAAAGCTTTGAATGTGAGAGTTTGAAATTTAAATCAAGGCCTCTCTGATAGAAAGTATCAGAGCATCATCTCCTTAAACCATTAGTGCTACCTCCTTTATTATCGCAGCTAGAATCAAAATCTATCCCGTGGCCAACATCTTTCTGAAGGAAACATAGGTATTTATCTTTCCTTCAATTATATCTATCTTTCCTTCAGTGAAGTTCAGATAGTCACACTTCTAGACACTCTGTGACTTATTCTAGCTCCCCGTATTTTGTTCTTAGAGGTTGTAAGACTCTGGGTTCATAACAAACTAATCACTCATCATAAAATGGTTTAGAATTTATTTCTTTATAGAAAGTTACTCTACAATATCCTTTTTATTCTTGATTATAAAATATTTATGTCATATGTCAAAAATATCACAATTCTTAAGTAAAAAGTTATATTTCTTGTTGTTTAATTAAATCAAGATATGGGGCATTAATAACCATTTTTAAACATTTTTTAAATTATTTATTTATTTTCCTTCTTTCTTCATTTCTTGCCGCTTCATTGCCACAGAAGCTAAATCCATTAACAAAGACTTAATCTTATTTCAGCCCTTTCTATTTTTTCTTTTCCCAATATTTTGACGAAGTAGGCTCAGAGAATTTTCAGTCCAACTCTTTTCTTTCCTGTCTTTTGAGTGTATGCTAAGAACATGTATTCGTTACCTTTCTTAGGATCTGTTGTTTCATTTTTCATGAATTATTCTTTTGAAATATTTATAAAACACATCTTAGTACATTCAGTTTAAGTTCTGGCTTTCTAATTTTCACTTTGGTAATTGTTTGTATAGAGTTATCCACTTAGATACTTAAAGGACTTCAGAGTAGTGGGAAACTATGTAAATTGAAAAAGGAAGTGTTTAACTGTAATTTTTACACTCCATTGTTCTTAATCTTAGTAGAAGAAAATAGAACATTGATTTACTTCAGAAAAACTTGTAAGAACAGGAGGATAAACAGTGGTATTACTTTTAATAAGCAATACATATAAAAAAGAAGATGTTGACTGTTTTTTTCAGTGAATTAATAAATTTCTGTATATAAAAAAGTTATCAATATGAATGGACTCAGTAATATTGTATTTTCTTTATTCTTGTAGATTGTTCTTCCTCTTTGATTCTTGACAGTAATCACATGCATCTCTTTGCATAATGCTACAAAAAGTTATTCTTATAACCACATCTTAAAATCAACTCAGTACTTTTGAAAAATACTTTTACTTAACTTAGTTTTACTTTGAAATTTGATTTTATTTTTAACTTTGCTAAAACTGCAGTACGTTTAAATAAGGAGACTGTCTAATTTTGGATACATTAAGTTACTCTCTCACAACAATGAATTCATTACTTCTTTTTAAGTAAGGTGGAAGCAATGTTTTATGCTATATTTTCTTGTTCAATCTGCTCTCAAATTATATATTTGCTGGTGATGTTGCACTTAAGTCAGTGTATTAGTCAAAGTTTTCCAGAATAGGAGAGAGAGAGAGAGATTTTGAGAATTGTCTCGTGTGATTATGAAGATTGAGAAGTTCCATGATATGCTGTCTGCAAGCTGGAAAATCAGGAATGCTGGGGTGCAATTCAGTCTCAAATGCAAGTCTAAAAGCCTGATAACCAGAGGGGAACTGATGGTCTAAATTCTGGTCTGAGTCAAAGGCATGAAAGCATAAGGGTGCATAAGAAATGGTGTAAGTCCTTGCCTGAATCCAAAGACCCATAAACCAGGAGCAATAATGTTCAAGGGCAGGTGAAGATGGATAGCTCAATGCAAACAGTAAGCGAATTTGACCTTCTTCTACCTTTTTTTCTGTTTGGACCCTCAACAGATTGGATGATGTCTACCAATGTTGGTGAAAGCAATCTTTACTCTGTCTACTGATTCAAATGCTAATCTCTTCCAGAAACACACTTAAAAATACTCTCAGAAGTAATGTTTTACCAGCTATCTGGGCATCCTTTAGCTCAGTCAAGTTGATGCATAAAATTAACCATCACAGTGAGTGTTTTTATTTTTTCTTTGTTTTCCTTTTTTAACCATCACAACAACAGCAAAAGAAACTGTTAACCCTTTTCCCAGTTAGAAACAAAATGCGCAGCTCACTGCCAGTGCTCATTTAATTTTACATAAACATGCTCTTTGAGGCTGAAGCAAATCTGACTGGTTTTATTTTATTTTATTTTATTTTTGAGTCGGAGTCTTGCTCTGTCGCCCAGGCTGGAGTGCAGTGGGGAGATCTCAGCTCACTGCAAGCTCTGCCTCCAGGTTCACGCCATTCTTCTGCCTCAGCCTCCCGAGTAGCTGGGACTACAGGCACCTGCCACCATGCCCAGCTAATTTTTTATGTATTTTTAGTAGAGATGGGGTTTCACCATGTTAGCCAGGATGGTCTCGATCTCCTGACCTCGTGATCTGCCCGCCTCGGCCTCCCAAAGTGCTGGGATTACAGGCGTGAGCCACCGCGCTTGGCCCCCTACTGGTTTTCAATTTGAAAATAAAATATACAAACTGTTCTTGGAGTTACTTCTAAACAAAGCTAACATCAGAATCATCTAAATCATCACAACTGTCTACTTTGGAAAAATCAGATTCATCAAGTGAATCTTCAGCCAGCAACTGCTACAGAATGATGTTAACATCATGCATAGGAATGCTACATGTTCTAGGATATGACGTTTACAGCAATTGAGGATTATTGTATTTTGGAAATGTAAATCCCACTACTAAAACCAGAATGCTATAAATAGAATGATGTCTTTTGTTTCCAAAGTCGATATACTAGAAAGATGCAAAAATAATAATAAAAGTGAGATATTTTTGTGACAAAGTTATCTTGGGGTAAATGCTGCAGCTGCAAGCACCACTAGTGAGTATTCTTGGGGCAAATGGAAAAGGGGTTAGGCAAGTGTAATTGTTCCATTTCTATAAATGTACTGCATCAAAAAGGAGGAATTAGTCTGATTAGTATAAATATTAGAGGACCTACTTAGTATTTGAGAACAATTGGTGTCAGTGTTCCCAATTTTCAGAATTAAATGATCAATAAGAATTCAATAAATATTTTTAGAATGAATGAATAAGATTAGTTTCTTCTGAATGAGCTTAATATCATGTGGGAAATGAAGTGTCTGACAGGCAGAGAGTAGATTCACCTGAGATGTTGCTGCCTGCCTCCCTCAACCCACTGTTCTCTGCTGGAATGTGATCTAATTGATCTTTCCCTTTCACTTTACAGCCATTTTCACAAGTTGTAATAATTTTATTTATTGGTTTGTTTATTTTGTCTCTGCTACCCCTATTGTAAAGTAATATCCAAGTGAGTTATGGGCCATGTCTATCTTGTTCAAAATTTCAGCTTGGTGAATGTAAAGATGAGGCGCTCAGTTAAAATGTGTTGATAGGATAAATTAGCTTCTGCACGGGTTCTTTTGCATCTCACCAGAAAAAGGAAAGTGATTACATAATTTTGTTTTCTAGTCTGATAGCATCTGTCTGGTCTGGTCTGTGAATCAAACTTGCCATGAACTCACACTGGCCATCAACTTCACAGGGTGTTTGCCATGACAATTACCCTCAAAAAACCTGAATATTTATATACTAGGTCAATTACTTCACTAAATATGTATCATTACTAACAGCTGTGAGCCTGGTACTGCTGAAAACTAGTTGCCTATAAACCATTTGGCACTCAGATTTTTTCATGTGGGAAAATTTGCATACAAATCTGGATTTCTGCTGCCTTTTCTCCCTGGGAACTTAAGGACCCCTAACTTAAGTTAGGAACTAAATTAAGGAACCCTAACTTTTTCATCCTTATTGAAATTTATACTGGAAAGCAATGTGATAAAGGGACTCAGTCTAATACTCATGTGAATGAAGGAAGAGTATCTTCTACAGATGTCCAAGGTAATATAGCTGAGAAAAAATATCCCATGGTTAACTGGGGTTTTTCTGAAGATGGGAGATTGAAGTTGTCGTCTATTAGAGCTGCTGGTTCTGTAGCATACCCAGTGGAAAATGCAGAAATTAGAAGAATGTTTGTAGGAGAGTATAGACAGATGGCAATTTTATATTGTCTAAATAATAGTGCTTTATAAACATGTAGCTCATACCAGGTGGATCTTGAAAGATTTTTGGCCACAGGAACACACACACAAAAGCCGACAATGTGCTCACCGTGTTCTTGACTGAGCTGTAACCCGGAGACAGTCATTTGCGCCTGGCTTCTCTCTACCTGCAGTGCCACTGCCAGAGTTAAACTCATAATCTGTCACTGCAGCTTTTCTAACTGCTTACTCTTTGGTGTACCTAGTCTTCCTGTTTGTAGTTAGCTCCCCTTATTAGTCTTCTTCTCTATTGCTTTTTAAAATGGTAATTGACACTCCACATTAGCTTACCTTTACCTTCAAGAGCAATCAGAATTCATTAGCCTGACAAATAGGCCTCTACCCAGTGTGTCTGATTTTTATTTCTCTCCAGTTAATTGTATTGTGTCTTACCCTTTGTTGTGTCTCCTATAAATGTCAATTATTAACACATTTTTCAGCAATTTGCAAACTCAATACTTTTTTTCTTAGACTTTGCCTGTTGCCATGCTATTTTTTTTTTCTTTTCAGAGTTGCTTCCCCCTTCTTTACTCCGAAAAATCAACTTTTGAGCTTTTTCTTAAATCCTATATCTCCTGGGAGGCTTTTTCTAACTCATACACAAAGATAGATATTCTGAAGCCTTAAATTTGTACCTTGGTCACAGTAAGTATCATCCATATTGTAATTCATTTGCTTATATGCCAATCTTCCTCCACTAGTCTGAGAAATGATTGATAAATTTTCACTGGCAACTACGTTATCCTTGTAAACCTGGTGTATTTGTTGATTCTCATCAAGCTTTTGTTAAATGAATAATTATCTTGAGAAGCCAATCCCTCATAAAATCCGGTAGTAAAATTTCCTAGACATCTTGGAAGAACACTTTTGGAAACAATGGTCTAGAGTATTCAAACCAAATTACATAATAAATTGTTAAAACAAAAATCTTACAGCAAGCATAGGGAGCATACAATCAAAGAAATAGGAATGCGGAAAAGGTTTGAAATAATTACCTACTGGTTTTGGAGTGTTATACCTTTTTTTTTGGTAAAAACACTGACTGACTAAGAATTTAGTGAATGCCCCAGTAGAGAGATATTAGCTCACCAATGCTTTAGTTTCCACAGAAATAACTGCTGCTGATATAGTCTTCCATAGTTGGCATCTGGGGGTTTGGGGGAATAAAAAGGGAATGGTTAATGGGTACAATTTACAACTAGATGGAAGGAATAAGACCTAGTTTTTGGTAGCACAATAGAACCACTACAGTCAACAATAATTTATTGTGTATTTCAAAATAACAAAAAGAATATAGTTGGAATGCCTTTAACACAAAGAAATTATAAATGTTTGAGATGTAGGATATCACAATTACCCAGATTGATCATTACACATTGTATGCTTGTATCAAAATACCACATATACTTCATACATTTTTACAACTATTATATATCCATACTTAAAAAATATAAAATCTAAGTTCATGGACCGAGCATGGTAGCTCACGCCTGTAATCCCAGCACTTTGGGAGTCAGAGGTGAGCGGATTACTTGATGTCAGTAGTTCGAGATAAGCCTGGTCAACATGGTGAGACCCCATCTCTACTAAAAATACAAAAATTAGCCAAGCATGATGGCACGGGATTGTAGTCCCAGCTACTCAGGAGGCTAAGGCAGAAGAATTGCTTGAATGCAGGAGAATTGCTTGAACCCAGGAGGCAGAGGTTGCAGTGAGCCGAGATCGCACCACTGTACTCCAGCCTGGGCAACAGAGTGAGACTCTATCTCAAAAAAAAAAAAAAGCCGGGCGCGGTGGCTCACGCCTGTAATCCCAGCACTTTGGGAGGCCGAGGCGGGCGGATCACGAGGTCAGGAGATCGAGACCATCCCGGCCAAAACGGTGAAACCCCGTCTCTACTAAAAATACAAAAAATTAGCCGGGCGTAGTGGCGGGCGCCTGTAGTCCCAGCTACTTGGGAGGCTGAGGCAGGAGAATGGCGTGAACCCGGGAGGCGGAGCTTGCAGTGAGCCGAGATCCCGCCACTGCACTCCAGCCTGGGCGACAGAGCGAGACTCCGTCTCAAAAAAAAAAAAAAAAATCTGAGTTCATTCATCCGAAGTGAATGTGGATTAATTGGTTTCTCAGGTAGATTATAGAGATTAAGAGAAACAGGGCCTCAAATCAGAAACCTATATACTAACAATATTTTTCAGTATACAATTTTTATAATAGACAGAAGAAAACCATTCCCTGCACAAGCTTATATATGATCTGCTAGAGTAGAGAGATAGATGGATACCCCCATGTAGTTATTCATTTTTTAAACATTAACTTATCTCTTACTGTTTACTTGGATGGTATTACAGATGTAAGTTTGTGTATAATACTTCAGCATCATATTTGAGTTAAAGCATCATCATTACCTTGTTTTGAAACTTGAAACTATCTAGGCACGCTGGACATATGCTACCTATTTTTTCCCTTGAAGGTTATATTGCTGGCTTAAGCAATTCCCTGGGTGAATTCAAAGCTAAACAACAAAGAAATCTGGAAAATCACCAGGTTTCCATTCACATATCCATTGTAGCCCAAGGTTGTTGTAAATTGTTCCCTAGGAAATATCTGCAAAGCTCATAGTTCACCAATTTAGATTTGAGACCTAAACTCAATACTGCAGGGTATTGATTAAATTCTGCTTTCACACATGTATATTTCAGAATAAATATGTGCATTCTCACATGATTTTTTTTATTCTAGAGCATTTTAATTTTGGTTAATAGGTAAATATCATATAAGTATTAGTTCATTTCTTAATTGAAGACTAGAAAAATCTTAAGTTTCTCCAGGTGATTCTGTTCAATTAATGAAATTCTAGAATGTATCCTCTAATATGGTATTGATGAAGTTGTACATATGTTTATTTGGATATATCAGAAACCATAATTCAAATTTATTATACAATAATAGTAGTTAATAGGACATATTTTTACAGTTGGGATTGTTTTAGAATCCCACAAGTTTAAAAAACTCACAATTAGGGATAGCTTTGCATATTTATTGGATGTAGCCTCCATAGAGTTAGGAAAACTGTAATGAGGAATACATAATGAAGACTTTATACAAGTCTATACTAAATATAAGCACTATTATTTATATGGAATATACAATAGAACATGGAAAGAAGCAACATAACATGAAATATTATAGGACTACAAAAAGAAAACAAAAAGTTACAAGAGCCATTATATTTATATTATGTAAACAGAAAATACAACATTGCAGTAGCTCTGCTATAGACAAGTGTTGCTACCATATATGCTTCAATTGTGTTTAGTTCTGTTGTACTGGTTACCTCTCAGTACCTTATTATTTTATCTGCTATATCAATCTGTGTGGCAGTCAAAACACCACAATGTGATATGACAAAAAATACATAGGAAAAACTATTCATTTATGTGTGCCTGATGCTTGCTTTCAGTTTACATCAGAACTTTGAGTTATGAAAGGAGTTGACAGATGGAAGCAAGGGTAGGGCAGCTGGCTTACATTACAGTCTTCTGTACCTGTGAATCACTTTGTAAAAAAGAAATTGTTTCTGCACACTTAAAAAAAGTCTTTAAAAGTAATGTGATTTGAAGAATTTTGCTTTTACATATGTATTTCCTAGTACATCATATTATCTTTTATACAAGAAGAAATTTTTGAACATAATTGGAAGGTTATGCTCTTGACTCATGAAAGTTCCATTTACCAACCTCATACTTCTATAGTGTTAAATATGTGGCTGACTAACTCACAGAATCTGACACTAGGGCATCCTGGGATTGCCTGTGGTGCTGTGTCTTTCAAGAATGCCTCAATGTAATTTTAATGACATGTGCTTTATTTCAGTGAATTTAACATTAGTGCCATTTTTCTTTAAAGAGAGATGTTTTAAGAGGATTAAAACACAGTGATTTTGTATTTTTGTAATAAGAATTTTGTTTTGTAAAAGAATATTTTATAGTATCTTTACTTTTACATAGAAATTTTAATAACTAAATTATACAGACAATTGTTTGTGCTGCTGTTAATATCTGCGGCTTTTTCTTATTCAGCAGTGTCAGCAATGCAGAAAGAAATCCATTGCTAAGGAAATGGAAGTTATGATGGTCTTACCTTAAAGTAGAAACAATATAGTACTGTAGTGGAGAGTGGTGGTTCCTTCACTACATGCTTTAGGAATACAATTCTGCTATGACATGTCTCTGCTAATCATAGACGCAGGGTTGGTGGGAACTGGAAATGAATGTTAGTAGAAACTATTTCATTAACTCTAGAAAAATATAATAATTCCTGGAGTTCTCAATTTTTCTTCTAATGTTGACAACTCTATTAACAGAATATAGTGTTGAAATGTTTTAAGTGTGCCCACGTTAGAGATCTGAAAAATTAACTTTGAGCCCCAGATAAAGAAATAATTTGAATTCAAGTCCCTAGAACTTACCAGGTCTGCTTACATCCTGCTGTACTAATACAAGTTAAAGCAGATGTTTTCTATGGAGGTAAAAGACCTAACAATATAAGTGAGATAATATTCTTCATTTTGAGATAAGAAATGAATAATGCTTCTCATTCCACTCTTTTCCCCTAATTTATGTATGTTAAGATTTTGGGGGTACCGTCAATACTACATGTTCCATCTGTTATGAGAGAGACACGCTTTCAAGTCCTTAGGTTCTGCCTCAACTAAGCTCTCAGTTTGTGCCTTCATAAGATCAGGTGGAGAATATTATTTTCTAATTAATTATTTCAGTAAGAAAGTTGAAGAAAATAGTCTTTCCTAAATACGGATGACAGATTATTAGTCTGCTTTTGTAGATAAGTAAGCCAAGTTTGTGACAGATTATGGAATTGTGAAGGTAAATGAGATACAGTAATTTATTGGAAATATTTTCTGATAATTTCATTAATTGTATTTTCCAATCTTAGTTAAACCATTGGTCTCTGAGGTAGTTAGGTGACAGTAAATTTAGATAAAAGCTAATCAGACAGTCCTCGATTTCCTAATGAGGTAAAATACAAGCAGTAAGAGAAACACAAAAAGAATTTAATTCATCTTTTGGGAGAGATTGAATTGAAAATTCTATAAATCAATTATTTCCAAGCCTACTGAAGATGAGTTACAGGTAAAAAAAAAAAAATTAATTGTTGTTTTGGAGCTGCAAGTTTTTAGGGAGAACAATAGTTCTATAAGGAGGAAAACTGATCAGCCATTGCAATACTGTTCTTTAACCCATTTATAGCAAATGCTGGTTATTTAATGCATTTATTTATTCATTGATGTAGTATTTATTGTAGGCTAATTATGTGACTAAATTTTACTTAGGTACCCTCTGAGATACCTCAATATTTCCATCAAAGATCTTAGAATATAGAAAAATAGGGGTCACAGGAACACAGAGTCATATTAAGACAAATGTGTAATTACAGGACATATGACATACGTGTTCTACATATCTTAAATAATTTAAACATGTAAAATTCATTAAAATAAATATTTATACTATTAAAATGCCATATACATTTTAATTGTGAAGTTATATAGCAACTCACTTTCCTCTTCTGTAAAAAGAAATGATAACAGTTGCAGAACATGCATTTTTCTCCCCCGCACAGGGAACATTTTCAAGGATAGACTATATGTTAGGCCACAGAACAAGTCTCAAAAATTAAAATAAAGAAAATTATATCAAATATTTTTTTGACCACAACAGAATAAGACTAGAAATTAATAACAAGAGGTACTTTGGAAAGTATACAAGCACATGGAAATTAAGCAATATGGTCCTGAACAACAATAAGGTCAATGAAAAAATTAAGAAGAAAATTCAAAAAAATTTTAAGTCAAATGAAAATGGAAATGCAGAAGCAGTACCAACAGGGAAGTTCATAGTGATAAACATCTATTATACATTAGAAAAGTAAGAAAAAATAAAAAAGAAACTTCAGATAACCTAATGATGCATCTTAAAGAACTCAGAAAGCAAGAGAATCTAAACCCAAAATTAGTTGAAGAAGAAAATAAATAATAAAGATCAGAGCAGAAATAAAGAAATGAAGACTAAAAATACAAAAGATCAATGAAATGAAAAGTTATTTTGAAAAGATAAACAAAATTGAGAAACCTTTGCCAGACTAAGAAAAAAAAAAAGACTCAAATAACTCAAACCTGTGGTGAATAAGGGGACATTTCATTTGATAACATAGAAATTCAAGAGATCAGTAGAGACTACTATGAGCAACTATATGTCGATAAACTGGAAAGCCTCAAAAAAATAAATAAGTTACTAAACACATACAACCTACCAAGATTAAACCACAGAGAAATTCAAAATTTAAAGAGAACAAAAACAGGTAATGAGATTGAAGCAATAGTAATAATTTAAAAGTCTCCCATCAAAGAAAAACCCAGGACTTGATGCCTTCGCTGCTGAATTCTGCCAAACATTTAAAGAAGAACTAACACTAATCCTACACAAACTATTCAAAAACATTGAGGAGGAGGCAATACTTCCAAATGTATTCTGTGAGACTAATATTACCCTGACACTAAAACTGGAAAAAGACACAACACAGAAGAAAACTAAAGATTAATATATCTGATGAATATTAATGCTAAAATTCTCAATGAAACACTAACAGTTTGAATTCAACAACACATCAAATAGATCCTTCATCATGACCAAGTAGGATTCATCCCAAGGATGCAAGGATGGTTCAATATACACAATGAGTAAGTGTGATACGTTACATCAACAGAATGAAAGACAAAAACAATGTGATCATTTCAATTTCTGCCAAAAAGCATACTAAAAATTCAACAACCCTTCATGATAAAAAATATTCTCAAAAACACTGGGTATAGAAAAAACATATCTCAGCACAATAAAAGCTATATATGACAAACCCACAACTAGTGTCATAATAAACAGGGGAATAATCTGAAGATCCTTTAAGATATGGAACAAGACAAGGATATCACACTTTTGCCACTTTTATTCATCAATAACATAGTTCTGGAAGTCATAGCCATCATAATCAGACAAGAGAAAGAAATAAAGGACACCCAAATTAAAAAGGAAGAAATAAAATTATCTTTGTTTGTAGACAATATAATCTTTTATTTGGAAAAACCTAAAGATGCCACCAAAAAAAACTATTAGAACTGATAAATTTGGTAAAATTATAAGTAGTAAACAAAATCAGCATACAAAAATCAGTAGCATTTTTGTATGGCAACAGCAAACAATCTGAAAAAGAAATACAGCAAGTAAGCTCATTTACAATAGCTACAAATAAAGTAAAAAACCTAAAAATTAACCAAAGAAGTGAAAGATCCCTGTAATAAAAATGGAAACATTGATGCAAGAAATGGAAGAGGACACACAAAAAACGAAAAGATAGTCCTGGATGAATCAATATTGTTAAACTGTGCATATTACGTAAAGCAATCTACAAATTCAAAGCAATGCCTCTTAAAATCCCAATGTCAATTCTTCAAAGAAATATAAAAATAATTTTAAAATGTATACGGAACCACAAACGACACAGAATATAGTCAAAGCCATCCTGAGCAAAAAGAAGACAGCTGGAAGAATCACATTACCCGACTTCAAACTATACTATTAAACTATAGTAACCAAAACAGCATGGTACTGACATAGAAACAGGCACATGGACCAATGGAACAGAGTAGAGAACCCAGAAACAAATCCATACATTTACAGTGAATTCATTTTTGACAAAGATGCCAAAAATATACATCAGTGAAAGGACAGGTTTTTTATATATATATATAAATACTGCTGAAGAAACTGTATATCCATATGTAGAGGAGTGAAACTGGACCCCTATCTTTCATTATATAAAAAATCAAATCAAAATGGATCTAAAGACTTAAATCCAGCTGGGCACTGTGGCTCATGTCTGTAATCCTGACCCTTTGGGAGGTCAAGGTGGGTGGACCGCTTGAGCTCAGGAGTTCAAGACCAGCCTGAGCAACATGGTGAAACCCCATGTCTACCAAAAATTCAAAAATTAGCTTGGCATGGTGGCACCCGTCTGTATTCCCAGCTACTCTGGAGGCTGAGGCTCATCATTTGAGCCTGGGGAGCAGAGGTTGCAGTGAGCTGAGATCGTGTCACTGCACTCCAGCCTGGGTGGCAGAATGAGACTCTGTCTCAAAACAAAACAAACAAAAAAAGACAACTCTGGGGATACACTCCAAGTCATTGGTCTGAGCGAAGATTTATTGAGTCTGACCTCAAAAGCACAGGGAACCAAAGCAAAGAAACCCCGGGATCATATCAAGCTAAAAAGCTTTTGCACAGCAAAGGAAACAATCAAGCAAAGTGAAGAGACAACCCACAGAACAAGGGAATACATTTGTACACTACTTATTTGCTGAGGAATTAATAACCCAAAAATATAAAGAATTTGAACCACTCAATAGAAAAAAAATTATGATTGATCTGAATAGGCATTTCTCAAAAAGAAGACATATACATGGCCAACAGGGACATGAAAAAATGTTCAATATCACTAATAAGAAGAGAAATACAAATCAAAACTACAATGATATATTATCTTAACCCAGTTAAAATGCTTTTATTCAAAAGAAAGGTAATAACAAATCCTAACAAAGATATGGAGAAAGGAGAACCCTCAGAAACTGTTGATTGGAATGTAAGTTAGTATAGGTTGGTACAAACACAATTGGAGCATAATAGCAATAAATTGCAGTTTTTGCCATTAAAAGTAATGGCAATACTTTTAGATACCATAGAATACTACTCAGTTATAAAAAATGAAATTATGTCTTTTGCACTGACATTGGTGGGATTGGAGGCCATTATCCTAAATGACATAATGCGGAAACAGAAAGTCAAATATCTTATGTCCTCACTTACAAGTGGAAGCTTAACAATGGGTACATATGGACATACAGAATGGAATAATAGACATTGGAAACTCCAAAAGATAAGATAATGGAAGGCGAGGTGAGGGATGAAAAATTAGCTATTGGGTATAATGGACACTATTGAGGTGATGGTAAACTAAAAGCCGCTAATTGATATATCCATGTAACAAAGTTACACTTGTATCCCTAAATCTATAAAAATTAAAACTAAAAAATAATTTACCACAATTTATTTATCCATTCATCTGTTGATGAACACTTAGACTGCTTCCAAATCATATCTGTGGTAAACAGTATTGCAACAAACATAGGAGTGCAGACATCTTTTGGATATACTTATTTCCTTTTGTTTGTTTGTTTGTTTTTGGCATCTACCCAGCAGTGGAATTGCTGGATCTTATAGCAGCTCAGTTTTTAATTTTTTGAAGAACCTCCAAACTGTTCTCTGTAGTGGTTGTACTAATTTACACTCCCACCAACAGTGTACAATAACTTAATTATACATTTTAAAATAACTTACAGAGTGTAATTGGATTGTTCATAACTCAAAGGATAAATGCTTGAGGAGATAGATACCCCATTCTCCATGATATGTTTATTTCACATTGCAAGACTGTATCAAAACATCTCCTGTGCCCCATATATATAACTACTATGTACCTACCACAATTAAAAATAAAAAATAAATTTTAAAAATGCGCAAGAGATCTGAATAGACATTTCTGAAAAGAAGACATACAAATGGCCAAAAGTACATGAAAAAATGTTCGACATTACTAATTATTAGATAAATGCAAATCAAACCTACAATGAGATACCATCTTACCCCTGCTAGGCTTTTAACCAAAAAATGGCAATAATGAATGCTGGTGAGGATGTCAGAAAGGGAAACCTTCATACACTATTGGTGAGAAGGTAAATTAGTACAGCCACTATGGGGAAGAGTAAGGAGATTCCTCAAAAACTAAAGATAAAACTAACATATGATCCAGCAATCCCAGTGCTGAGTATAATTTAAAAAGAAAGGAAACAGTATATCCAAGAGATATCTGAACTCCCATGTTTATTCCAGCACTATTCATAAAGCCAATATATGGAAGCAACCTGTATCCATCAACAGATGAATGGACAAAGAAAATATGCTACATATATACAATGGAATATCATTCAGCTGTAAAATAAATGAGATCCTGTCATTTGCAACAACATGGATGAAACTAGAGGTCTTTATGTTAAGTATAATAAGCCAGTCACAGAAAGACAAATATTGGATGTTCTCACTTATATGTAAGAGCTAAAAAAAAAAATAAATTGAGCTGAGAAAGATATAGAATGCAGCGATGGTTACCAGATACTGGGAAGGGTAGTGGGGGAGAGAAGGATAAAGTGGGGATGGTTAATGGGCTTAAAAATACAGTTAGATAGAATGATTAAGATTTAGTATTCAGTAGCACAAAAGAGTGACTATAGTTAACAATAATTTATTGTACATCTTAAAATAAGTAAAAAAGTGGGATTGGAATGTTCCTAACACAAAGAAATGATAAATGATTGAGGTAACAGATACCCCAATTACCCTAATTTGATCATAATACATTGTATCTCTGTATCAAAACATCACATGTACCCCATAAGTATATACAACTATTATGTACCACAATAATTAAAAATAAAAATTTTAAAGGAACGATAAAAATAAAACCTAAGCAATAGAATTATCTTGATACTAAGTGAAATTATCAAAGCATTTATAAGGGTACTTGCTTAGTAAACATTGTTGTTGAAGTTTTCAAATAGATTACTATTTATGAATAAACATTGGTACAAAATGTAGTTTCCCATGTCTGTCTTCAACAGATTTTTATTAAAATTCTATGTGAATTTTTGCCTGTTAATCTCACATTTTTTATTTCCTTCCACTATTTAAACCATTCTTTTAACCGCAACTTGAATATATACAACAAAAATATGCATATTTTCCTTATTGGCATGATAGAGGGCGAAGAATATAGGGAATAGAGAAAATAACCTCAGGAAATAATAAAAAATGATCCCTCCCCCAAGGCAGGCAGCATTTTGTGGTAAAAATCTATTGACTGAATATGAGAAAATAAGATATCACTAACTAGAAGAGTAATCTTGGGTAATTCACTTACTATAAGCTTCACTTTCTTCTGTAAAATAATAGGGAATGGTCCAAATGATTTCTAAATGTTATGATTCTAAGAATCCTACCATGTAAATTGAATAGACAAATATATTACAAAAAAACTTAGAGAAGATTTTCCAAGAAACCTAAAGCAAGTATGTTATAACAAATCATAATTTATGTATATATTATAATACAATTTTAATGGTATATATGTAAGCCAGAAGATATCTTTGTTGAAATAAGATGATGTATTTCTATTATAGAAACAAATGACCTTTGGCTTTATCCTTCCTAAAGCTGCACACTGCACAAGAAAATGATAAAAGAAACAAGAATAGTCTTCTTTCCAAAAATGAATGCAGATGAATTTATTCTGCAGATGATTTATAATTATGCAACATTTCTGTTATCTACTCTGGGTTCAAAGCCATGTTCTGGTTCTCTTTAGAAAACACAGTATTTTGGGATTTATCCCAGCTAATAATCAATGCAAGACCCTGTGGCAAAAAATTCAGCACAGATGTTTAGATAGATGGCGACCTCATGATATCTACAGAATGCCACCTCCTCTGCTTTGACTCCTAATGAAAGCTTGGGCAGTTTAATTCACAGAGGCTGAAAACAAGTACAGGCAGTGGCCTCAAGAGATGTCAGGAACAATAAATGCTAAAGATCTGGAAATGTAGTATTTGTTGATGGTCTGAGATAGTGTTTCAGCACAGTGAGTCCCAGAAACTGACAGCCAGATATCAGAGTGAAAAAGATAACTTCTAGATTTTTATGTAACTGAGGAATAAACAGCCTTTCAACAGGAAGTACAGATGTATACAAGCAGAACATTTCTTTTTTGAGAAAGTCATTTTCAAAGGCTACAGAGGGTTTATGATTTTGTGCTATTAATACACTTTTATAATAGATTTTATATGCCAGAAAAGATGACCCTAGCTGACTGTTACTCTGAGATCAAGAGTTTATAAATTTTTTAAGAGTCTCAGTTTAACCTCATTGGATTATCTCATTTTTCTCACAAATAAATCTCTTTTTTTAATGCTTTCTTTTAAGAGCCTTGAAAACAGAGACCAATGCTCTATTATTGTATCTATTTGTAGCCTCAGAAATGCCTAGCAGATTAATTAATATATGATAAGGCAACAATAATAAAGGTGTATATTTTAAAATACTCTCAAACATATTTAATTTTTTCTTATAACAGTATCATAATGAAAACAAAACAGGTATTATCCCTGTTTTACATGGAAAAATACTGAGTTCCAGGGATTTTGAATGACTTGTGTGTGTTCAGTAGCTATTAAATGATGGAACAGGTATTTAAATATTATTATTCTCATTTTAAACTTAAAGCACTGTCTATCTCATCACCTTGATTTTTCAAAGCACATGCTATTTTCCCCTTGAACTAAAACAAAGAGAGAAAGCCACCATTCACTTGGCACCTCGTTTGTTAGTCACTATTTTAGGTATTTTCATTTTTAATAATTTATTCTTATTTTTATAATTTATTCTAAGAAGTGGGTTTTGGGTTTTTATCCCTATTCCATTATGTGTGTTAAATTATATTCAGGTATCTAAATAGTTTTCTCTCTGTGAAATTAGTAACAAGGAGATGGGGCCAGAATGCAAGCCCAGGGATAAATAAAAGTGTAGAACATAATTATGAGATTGGGAGTAAGACTATATTGAAAATTAAAATATATCATTTTACTAAAGACTTTAGGCAGAAATAAAGTTTGTCTCTGGTGGGCAGTCCTAAAGAGATATCTGGCTTAATTTATGCTTGTTTCCTTTGGCATTTATATATATATATATATATATATATATATATATATATATATATATATATATATATATGAAGAGTGGAGAGAGCGAGAAAGTATTAATGGGAATTTAGTATGAGGAAGACGACGGCATGTGAAGAAATGCTCTATCTTGCAATAGTCATAGAAAACAAACAGAAAAAATCAGAATGTATTTAGCGAGATAAAAAATTAACTAGTTTCTGGTGGACAAGAGACAAGTTTTTTATTTTTCCTAGATAGGTATCTTCATTTGTAAATTTTCATGTCAATATGACATTTTTTCTTGTACTAAGTGGAAAGATGGATGTGGTTTGGGTAATTTGGCCCTTCACTTATTTACTTCATATAGTTTAAATAAAACAAAGACTAACTATTTTAGTATCTTTTTTGCTGTACGTAAAATAATCTTGTAGTAGTTGTGATATCCCTAATGATAGTAAACTTGGTTTACATAACTAATTTCTCTTGAATGGTGGCTACCACATAGCTACCACAGTCTACGTTGTCCAGAGATGTCACTATGTTCTGGCAAACTTTCAAAATACATGGACATTGTTTTGGACCAGGAGGTGAGTCAAAATTGCTTAGATATTCTTGAATTTACTCATATGTTTGGTTCCATATGCTCACCAGAGAGCAATTCTAGATATAAGCTAAATACCAAAGGATAAGGCCTGAACAACCTACAAAACTCAGAGTTACAGAAGTCTCATTTATAGCTCTAATAATGTGCAAAAATACTGAAAATTATTATAGTATGTTTTCATCAACTTTTCTTTTGATAAAAGTTCCTTCCTTACTGTACTCTCTGCTATGCCTTCTTGCCACTTCTCTTGAATTCCAAAGATCCACATTTGCCTAAATGTCTTTGGTTGTCTTTGTTCAGGCCTATTACAATATTAGAATAAATGGCAGCTTAATTATGAAATTCTTAGGAAAATCTTAATTTTATCTTCCCTATCCAAATCTAATTGGCACCTTTCTCTTTTATTGAAAACTAATAATTAATAAAATTATTGATAAAATTATCATGCTGAGATCTTTATAATTATTTATAAACTAACATGTAACTTGTACGGCAGTACCTGTGCTATCTGAAATACCCAGTGTAACACAGTATATGTAAGAAGACCTTGCTGCATAAATCCCAATAGTGAAATTTTATATATTAGAACACATTGTGCTTTGATAGGGGGTGTGTTCATGGATTAGCATTGATAATATTAGTTTAATACTATTAATAATTGGCATTTCACCATATATTGCACTTTAAAAATTTTTGTGGGTGCATAGTAGGTGTATATATTTATGGGTTGCATGAGCAATTTTGATATGAATATGGAATGTGTAATAATCACATCAGGATAAATGGGATATCTATCATCTCAAGCATTTATCCTTAGTGTTACAAACAATCCGATTATACTCTCTGAGTTATTTTTAAATGTACAATTAAATTATTTCTGACTGTAGTCACTCTGTTGTGCTGGCAAGTACTCAGTCTTGTTCATTCCTTCTAAATACCTTTTTGTAACTGTTAACTATCCACAATTTCCCCCAAACCCCCACTACACTTTGCAGCCTCTGGTAACTATCCTTCTACTTTTAAATTTTAGCCTCCACAAATAAGTGAGAACATGCCAAGTCTGTCTTTCTGTGCTTGGCTTATTTCACTTAACATAATGACCTTCAGTTCCATCTATGTTGTTGCAAATGACAGGATCTCATTCCTTTTATGGCTGAATAATATACCATCGTGTATATGTACCACATTTTCTTTATCCATTCATCTGTTGATGGACACTTAGGTTGCTTCCAAATCTTAGCCACTGTGAATAGTGCAGCAACAAACAAGGAAGTGCAGATATCTCTTTGATATACTGATTTCCTTTCTTTTGTGTATGTACCTAAGAGTGGGATTGCTGCATTGTATGGTAGCTCTATTTTTAGTTTTTTGAGGAACCTCCAAACTGTTCTTCATAACGGCTAACTTACATTCCTACCAACAATGTAACTTACATTCCTACCAACAATGTACATGGGTTGCCTTTTCTCCACATCCTCTCCAGCATTTGTTATTGCCCCACTTTTGGATAAAAGCCTTTTAAACTGGGGTGAGATGATATCTCATTGTAGTTTTGATCTGCATTTGTATGATGATTAGTAATATTAAGCACATTTTCATATACCTGTTGGTTACTTGCATGTCTTCTTTTGAGAAATGTCTAGTCAGGTCTTTTGCCCATTTTTTAATTAGATTATTGATTTTCTTCCTATAGTGTTGCTTGAGCTACTTATGTATTCTGTTAATTAATCTCTTGTCTGATGGGTGGTTTGGAAATATTTTCTCCCATTCTGTGGGTGTCTCTTCACTTTGTTGATTGTTTCCTTTGCTGTGCAGAAGTTTATAACTTGATGTGATCCCATTTTTCCATGTTTGCTTTGGTTGCCTGTGCTTGTAGGGTATTACTCAAAACATCTTTACCAAGTCCAATGTGCTGAAAAGTTTCCTCAAGGTTTCCTTTTAGTAGTTTCATATTTTGAGATCTTAGATTGCAGTATTTAATCCATTTCTATTTGGCTTTTGTACATGATGAGAGATAAGGGTCGAGTTTCATTATTTTGCCTATGGATATCAAGTTTTCCCAGCACCATTTATTGAAGAGACAGTCATTTCTCCAATATATGTTCTTGGGACTTTTGTCAAAAATGAGTTTACTGTAGACGTATAGATATATCTCTGGGTTCTCTATTCTGTTCTACTAACTATGCATCAGTGTCTATGCCAGCATCATGCTGTTTTGGTTACTATAGTTCTGTACTATAGTTGGAAGTCAGGTAATGTGATTTCTCCAGTTTTATTCTTTTTGCTTTTAATAGCTTTGCCTATTCTGGGTATTTATGGTTCCATATACATTTTATGACAGTTTTTTTCCTGTTTCTGTTAAGAATGGCATCAGTATTTTGATAGGGATTGCATTAAATCAGTAGATTGCTTTGGGTAGTAGAAACACTTTAACAATATTGATTCTTCGAAACCATGAACATAAAATATCCTTCCATTTTTTGTGTCTTTAATTTTTTACATCTTTTTTTATAGTTTTCATGGTAGAGATCATTTATTTATTTATTTATTTATTTATTATTATTATTATTTTTTATTATACTTTAAGTTTTAGGGTACATGTGCACATTGTGCAGGTTAGTTACATATGTATACATGTGCCATGCTGGTGCGCTGCACCCACTAACTCGTCATCTAGCATTAGGTATATCTCCCAATGCTATCCTTCCCCCCTCCCCCCACCCCACCACAGTCCCCAGAGTGTGATATTCCCCTTCCTGTGTCCATGTGATCTCATTGTTCAATTCCCACCTATGAGTGAGAATATGCAGTGTTTGGTTTTTTGTTCTTGCGATAGTTTACTGAGAATGATGATTTCCAATTTCATCCATGTCCCTACAAAGGACATGAACTCATCATTTTTTATGGCTGCATAGTATTCCATGGTGTATATGTGCCACATTTTCTTAATCCAGTCTATCATTGTTGGACATTTGGGTTGGTTCCAAGTCTTTGCTATTGTGAATAATGCCACAGTAAACATACGTGTGCATGTGTCTTTATAGCAGCATGATTTATAGTCCCTTGGGTATATACCCAGTAATGGGATGGCTGGATCAAATGATATTTCTAGTTCTAGATCCCTGAGGAATCGCCACACTGACTTCCACAATGGTTGAACTGGTTTACAGTCCCACCAACAGTGTAAAAGTGTTCACTTCCTTGTTTAATTCCTAGGAATTTAATTTTATTTGCAGCTGTTGTAAGTGAAATTATATTTTTTTATTTTTATTTTTATTTTTTTTATTTAATTATTATTATACTTTAAGTTTTAGGGTACATGTGCACAATGTGCAGGTTAGTTACATATGTA
This sequence comes from Homo sapiens, assembly GCF_000001405.40. Lineage (NCBI taxonomy): Eukaryota > Metazoa > Chordata > Mammalia > Primates > Hominidae > Homo > Homo sapiens. The sequence goes on from NC_000003.12 coordinate 165,316,841, forward strand.
TACATGTGCCATGCTGGTGTGCTGCACCCATTAACTCATCATTTATCATTAGGTATATCTCCTAATGCTATCCCTCCCCTCTCCCCCCACCCCACAACAGTCCCCAGAGTGTGATGTTCCCTTTCCTGTGTCCATGTGTTCTCATTGTTCAATTCCCACCTATGAGTGAGAACATGCGGTGTTTGGTTTTTTGTCCTTGCGATAGTTTACTGAGAATGATGATTTCCAATTTCATCCATGTCCCTACAAAGGACATGAACTCATCATTTTTTATGGCTGCATAGTATTCCATGGTGTATATGTGCCACATTTTCTTAATCCAGTCTATCATTGTTGGACATTTGGGTTGGTTCCAAGTCTTTGCTATTGTGAATAATGCCGCAGTAAACATACGTGTGCATGTGTCTTTATAGCAGCATGATTTATAGTCCTTTGGGTATATACCCAGTAACAGGATGGCTGGGTCAAATGGTATTTCTAGTTCTAGATCCCTGAGGAATTGCCACACTGTCTTCCACAATGGTTGAACTAGTTTACAGTCCCACCAACAGTGTAAAAGTGTTCCTATTTCTCCACATCCTCTCCAGTACCTGTTGTTTCCTGACTTTTTAATGATTGCCATTCTAACTGGTGTGAGATGGTATCTCATTGTGGTTTTGATTTGCATTTCTCTGATGGCCAGTGATGGTGAGCATTTTTTCATGTGTTTTTTGGCTGCATAAATGTCTTCTTTTGAGAAGTGTCTGTTCATGTCCTTCACCCACTTTTTGATGGGGTTGTTTGTTTTTTTCTTGTAAATTTGTTTGAGTTCATTGTAGATTCTGGATATTAGCCCTTTGTCAGATGAGTAGGTTGCGAAAATTTTCTCCCATTTTGTAGGTTGCCTGTTCACTCTGATGGTAGTTTCTTTTGTTGTGCAGAAGCTCTTTAGTTTAATTAGATCCCATTTGTCAATTTTGGGTTTTGTTGCCATTGCTGTTGGTGTTTTAGACATGAAGTCCTTGCCCATACCTATGTCCTGAATGGTAATGCCTAGGTCTTCTTCTAGGGTTTTTATGGTTTTAGGTCTAACATGTAAGTCTTTAGTCCATCTTGAATTAATTTTTGTGTTAGGTGTAAGGAAGGGATCCAGTTTCAGCTTTCTACATATGGCTAGCCAGTTTTCCCAGCACCATTTATTAAATGGGGAATCCTTTCCCCATTGCTTGTTTTTCTCAGGTTTGTCAAAGATCAGATAGTTGTAGATATGCAGCATTATTTCTGAGGGCTGTGTTCTGTTCCATTGGTCTATATCTCTGTTTTGGTACCAGTACCATGCTGTTTTGGTTACTGTAGCCTTGTAGTAAAGTTTGAAGTCAGGTAGCATGATGCCTCCAGCTTTGTTCTTTTGGCTTAGGATTGACTTGGTGACGCGGGCTCTTTTTTGGTTCCATATGAACTTGAAAGTAGTTTTTTCCAATTCTGTGAAGAAAGTCATTGGTAGCTTGATGGGGATGGCATTGAATCTATAAATTACCTTGGGCAATATGGCCATTTTCATGATATTTGTTCTTCCTACCCATGAGCATGGAATGTTCTTCCATTTGTTTGTATCCTCTTTTATTTCATTGAGCAGTGGTTTGTAGTTCTCCTTGAAGAGGTCCTTCACGTCCCTTGTAAGTTGGATTCCTAAGTATTTTATTCTCTTTGAAGCAATTGTGAATGGGAGTTCACTCATGATTTGGATCTCTGTTTGTCTGTTATTGGTGTATAAGAATGCTTGTGATTTTTGTACATTGATTTTGTATCCTGAGACTTTGCTGAATTTGCTTATCAGCTTAAGGAGATTTTGGGCTGAGACAATGGGGTTTTCTAGATATACAATCATGTCATCTGCAAACAGGGACAATTTGACTTCCTCTTTTCCTAATTGAATACCCTTTATTTCCTTCTTCTACCTAATTGCCCTGGCCAGAACTTCCAACACTATGTTGAATAGGAGTGGTGAGAGATGGCATCCCTGTCTTGTGCCAGTTTTCAAAGGGAATGCTTCCAGTTTTTGCCCATTCAATATGATATTGGCTGTGGGTTTGTCATAGATAGCTCTTATTATTTTGAGATATGTCCCATCAATACCTAATTTATTGAGAGTTTTTAGCATGAAGGGTTGTTGAATTTTGTCAAAGGCCTTTTCTGCATCTATGAGATAATCATGTGGTTTTTGTCTTTGGTTCTGTTTATATGCTGGATTACATTTATTGATTTGCATATATTGAACCAGACTTGCATCCCAGGGATGAAGCCCACTTGATCATGGTGGATAAGCTTCATTGACCTACTGGCCATTTAGGAACATATTAATTTCCATGTGTTTTTATAGTTTCCAAAATTGCTTTATTAATTGATTTCTAGTTTTACTCCATTGTCGTCAGAGAAGATGCTCTATATTATTTCAATTTTTTGAACGTTTTTTAAGACTAGTTTTGTGACCTAACATGTGGTCATATGATCTATCCTTGAGAATGATCCATGTGCTGGGGAAAAGAATGTGTATTCTGTAGCTATTGAGTTAAATGTTCTGTAAATAAATTTTAGGTCCATTTGGTCTATAGTGCAGATTAAGTACAGTGTTTGTTGAGATTTGTCCAATGCTGAAAGTGGAGTGTTGAAGTCTCCAGCTATTTTTGTACTGAGGTATCTCTCTTTAGCTCTAATAATATATGCTTTATATATCTGAGTGCTCCAATGTTGGATGCATGCATATTTACAGTTGTTTGTTTGTTTGTTTGTTTGTTTGTTTGTTTATTGAGACAGGGTCTTACTCTGACACCCAGGCTGGAGTGCAGCGGCACAATCACCACTCACTACAACCGGTACTGCCCGGGCTCAAGCGATCCTTCTGCCCCAAATATCTGAGACTACTGGCATGCATCACCACACCCAGCTAATGTTTATATATTTTGTGGAGATGTGGTTTTACCGTGTTTTCTAGGCTGGTCTCAAACTCCTGAGCTCAAGAGATCTGCCCAACTCGACATCCCAAAGTGCTAGAATTCCAGGCATAAGCCATCACACCTGATCCCATATTTACAACTGTTATATCCTCTTGCTGAATTGACCACTTTATCATTAGCTAGCCATGTACTTTGTCTCTTCTTATAGTTTTTGTCTTGAAATCTATTTTGTCTGATATAAGTATAGCTATTCCTGCTCTTTTTTGGTTTCCCTTGGCATGGAATAATTTTTCCAACTCTTTATTTTCAGTTTCTGTGAGTCCTTTCAGGTGAAATGTATTTCTTATAAGGAACAGATCATTGGGTCTTATTTATTTATCCATTCAATCACTATGTCTTTTGATTGAAGTTTAGTCCACTTACATTCAACGTTATTATTGATAAATAAGGACTTACTCCTGCCTTCTTGTTGTTTTCTAGTTGTTTTGTGGTCTTCTCTTCTTTCCATTGTGTCTTCCTTTTAGTGAAGGTGACTTCCTCTGGTGGTATAATTTAATTTCTTGCTTTTTATTCTTTTGTGTATTGGTTGCATATTTTTTGACTCGAGTTTACCATTAGGCTTGCAAATACTATCTTATAACCCATTATTTCAAGGTGATAACACTGTTTCATAAATAAACAAACAAAAAGAAAACTAATAAAAACTCTACACGTTAACTCTGTTCCACCGGCTTTTTAACTTTTTGTTGTTTCTATTTATATCTTATTGTACTATGTCTTCAAATGTTGTAGCTATTAGTTTTGAATGGTTCACTTCTTGGTCTTTTTAGTCAGAGTAGTTTACACATACAGTTACTATATTATAATATACTGTGTTTCTCTGTGTGCTTACTATTACTAGTGAGTTTTGTACCTTCACAGATTTATTCCTCACTAACATTTTTTTGCTTATTAAAGTACTATCCTTAGCATTTCTTGTAGGACAGCTCTGATGTTGATAAAATCCCTCAGGTTCTGTTTTTCTGTAAATGTATTTATTGTTCCTTCATGTATGATGGATATTTTCACTGAATATACTATTCTAGGGTGATATGTGTGTCCCCATCCAAATCTCATGTTGAATGTAATCCCCTGTGTTGGAGGAGAGGCCTGGTAGGAGGTAATTGAATCATGGGGGCAGACTTCTCCCATGCTGTTCTTGTAATAGTGAGTGACTTCTCACAAGATTTGGTTGTTTAAAAGTGTGTAGCACCTCCCTGCTCACCCTCTTCCTCATTCTCTGGCCATGTAAGATGTGCTTGCTTCCCCTTCACCTTCTTCCATAATTGTAAGTTTCCTGAGGCCTCCCCAGCCATGCTTCTTGTACAGCCTGCAGAACTGTGAGTCAATTAAACATCTTTACATTATAAATTACTCTGTCTCAGGTAGTTCTTTATAGCAATACAAGAACGGACTAATACATAGGATAAAAGATTTTTTCCTTCAGCACTTTAAATACGTCATGCCACTCGCTCCTGGCCTGTAAGTTTTCCACTGAAAAGTCTGCTATCAGATATACGGGATCTCCATTGCATGTTGTTTCTTTTCTCTTGCTGCTTTTAGAATCCTTTCTTTATCCTTGACCTTTGGGAGTTTGATTACTAAATGCCTTGATGTAGTTTTCGTTGGATTAAATCTGCTTTGTGTTCTATGACCTTCTTGTACTTGGATATTGATATTTTCTTTAGGTTTGGGAAGTTCTCTGTTATTATCCCTTGAAATAATCTTTCTACTCCTATCTCTTTTTCTACCTCTTCTTTAAGGCCAATAACTCATTTGAAAAGACTTGGGTGTTGAGATCTAAGCTGTATCTGCATTAGCGGGGCACCCCAAGCCCAGTAACGCTATGGTTCTTGCGTACTCCTAGAGGTACCAACTTGATGGTCTTGCATAAGATCCAGAAGAATTCCATAGATTTCTAGGCAGAGATTCTTGGTTCCACCCTTTCTTTCTCCAAAACAAAGCTTTGGAGCTGGGGGTGGGGTGACACAAACACCCCTGTGGCCACCGCAACTGGTGTCATGTCAGGTGAGACCTGATGCACTGGGTCTCACCCAAGGTTCACTATAACCATTACCTGACTACCACCTGTGTTTGTTCAAGGCCCTAGAGCTCTACAATCAGCAGGTGGTGAAGCCAGCCACGATTGTTTTTTTTTCTCTTTAGGGTGGTGAGTTCACCCAGGTTCTGGGTATGTCCAGAGTTGCTATCTGGGGGCCCGGAACTGAAGTCAAACATCTTAGAAGTCTCCCTGGTGTTCTACTGTGGCTGAGCTGGCACTCAAACCACAAGATGCAGTTCTTCTCACTTTTTCTTCCCCTTTCAACAGGAACGGGAGCTTCACTCCATGGTCACCATGAGCCTAGGCACATGGGAGGTACTCCAAGTCTACCACCAATGTTCCTTAGAGCCCAAAGACTCTTCGGTCAGCTTGCGGTGAATGCTGCCTGGCCTGGAACTCACACTTCAGGGTAGTGGGCTCCCCTCTTTCCTGGGGTAGGTCTAGAAATGCCATCCAAGAGGCAAGGCCTAGAATTACGGACCTCAGGAACTTGTTTGGTTCTCTACTCCCTTGTGGCTGAGCTGGTACCTAACATGGAAGACAAAGTCCCTTTTGCTTCTACTTCAACTTTTCTGAAGCAGAGTCTCTTCCTTTAACCACCACATCTGGGAATGTGCTGAGTCCCATCTGAAACCATCAAATCTCAGAGGCTCACCCAAGGCCTTTGGTGTTACTACCTGGGTATTATTGCTCGCTATTCAGGGCCTAAAGTTTCTTTAGTCAGTTGATGATGGGTCCTCCTGGGAATTGGCCCTTTCCTTTAAGGCAGCTGGTTCCCTTCTGGCTGGTTCCCCTCAGGGTTGTCTAGAAATGTCTTCCAGGAGCCAAGGTCTGGAAAGGGGCCTCATTACTCTGGTGCCCTGTGCGCTGTGGCTGAGCTGGTATCCAAAATGCTAAAGAATCTCTTGTTAACTCTTCCCTCCCTCTCCTCAAGTGGAAGGAAGGAATCCTTTTTGGAGCCACAAGCTCTGCAGCTTGGGGTTGAGGAAGAGATGGCACAAGCATTCCCTTAGCTGTCCCAGCTGATGTCTCAGTAGATTGCATGCAAGTCCACTGGAACTGAGCCCAGTTCAGCACTAGGACTCACCTAGAAGTTGCAGTTCTTGTGGCCTAGATTGTCTCTCAAATTTCTTTAGAGCCACCAGAGCACTTCAGCTCTTAGTGGCAATGCTTGGTGGAACTTCCAATTGCTTAGATGGGCGATGCTTCTCTTACTAGGGATGGTTTAAATACCTTCTCCATGGGCTGCCATCACCTGAGTTCAGGCTGATTTTGCTTTCTGCCATGACAAGGCAGCACTGAGTTCAATGCAATGTCTCATAATTGCTGCGCTCTCCCTCTGCCAAGTCCACAGATTCTCTCTCCACACCATGTGGTCACTGCTGGGAGATCAGTAGGAGGTTGGCGGGTGGAAGGCCGTTGAAAATTCAAAACTGCCTTTTCTACACAATTCCAGTGCCTCTTTCAGCAATATGAAGTTAAAACCAGGTACTGTGTGTGCTCATCTAATTTTTGGTTCTTATAAATGTGCTTTAGATGTGTGGAGATAGTTGTTAAATTTGTGTCCTTTCCAGGAGGGTGATCTGTCAAGCCTTCTATTTGGCCATCTTGCTCCACATCTTTCTCATTTATTATATTTTGATAGGCAGTGTTTTCATATATTAATGCTAATAATATAATATAAATGTTTATGTATTACTTATATAAATGTTCATATATTAACCTTGATATATGAAAGCACCCTCTACCAAACCAGAGTACATATTAAAGTATTATTATTATATATAATATATAATATAATGTATTCCAAGCATTCCTCAAACACACTGTGTTAGGCAATCACCTACCCTACTTTCCCTATAAAACCAACTCTTCTCTCAACTGAAAGGCGTGTATTAGAGAGCCCAGCTATTGTTGGCCTACCAAGCATGCAGCCAGTTGGCTATAGCTTTCAGTGCCAGAATGTCAGGATTGTCTGAAAGTTGTTTGGTCAGTTGTAGACTAAAATTATGCAAAACTAATTTCCTCTCCCTATAGAAATATGTCACAAGAATAAATGAGATAATTTAGGAGAAACACTTTGAGATCTTACAAAGAAAACGCATTCTATTTATTCAGGTTATTGTAGTTTTTAGTATGATTTTTAAAATGCTGTATTGAAGTTGGCCTGAAGGTAAGATCCAGCACTTTGCTATTATTGTATTCTAACATAAAGCTTCTGCAAAATCGGTTGCAATTTGCTTCCAGGCTACCAAGATATGGTGGGATCTCTAATTTCACTGAATTTGAGGTTGTGGAATTGCTTCCCTTTTTAAATCTGTGTGTAATGTAAACAGTTTACTTCATACATAAAGGGCATTTTTCAAGTTGACATATTGCAATTTTCAATAGAAATGTAAGCTAAGTTGATGAATTCATTAGGAGGCATACAGTAAGGTGATGCTCATTTATTTCCAAGGGATGAATACTTCATGAATCCTAGTTCGTTTTTATTTTTATGGTTTTCTTTCTGTACAAAAGAACAAAAATTCTAAATTGCCAAAGGGAGGAAATATAGGTAAATAGAAGCCTGTGAATGGAGGAAAAGAAAAACTTGCTACAGCAAAGACTATATTAATTTAAATGCTATCTTCCCATTTTGTGTATACACTGAAGGCAGAATCTTTTCTGCTCTGAGGCATTCTCGCATTTCTGTTTTCTGATACTAAGTCTCCTTCCTCAGTTACCTAAACTCTACAGAGAGATACTACTCAGCGCTGCTCAATCTCAGAGCATAAATATGGGATCTAAATAGCAGGTCTGAAGCATTACTTTTCAGCCTGATGACAGATCAATTTTTCCCCCTTTTATTATCTCCTTCATTCTCATGGGATCATTTGTATCTGACAGAGAACAGCCTGCCTTCTAGAACAGTGATGTCCTTATTTATCCCTGAACCATGCCTTACCAGAAGCAGAACTTCCTCTTCAAGGAAAAGTTAGGGACCCAGTTTCACATCTGACATTTCTGGATTGACAAAAATATAAAGTTTTCCTCTATTTCTATATTTTTTCTGTGAAGAAATAGGCTGAGTTCCACAAAGGGTCATAAGGTGTTTCATATTTGAGATATTAATACCTTATACAAAGAATTGTAACCCACCGAAATAATGTCACAGACAAAATTTATACAATAGAATGAAAACATAAACGTTCTGATATAATCCGTATGCAGTCATAAATCTCTTAAAATTAAAATGTATATATTGGCCAGGCATGGTGGCTCACACCTGTAATCCCAGGACTTTGGGAGGCTGAGGTGGGCAGATCATGAGGTCAGGAGATCAAGACCATCCTGGCCAAAATTGTAAACCCTGTCTGTACTAAAATACAAAAAATTAGCCGGGTGCAGTGGTGCACACCTGTAGTCCCAGCTTGGAGAGGCGGAGGTTGCAGTGAGCTGAGTTTGCGCCACTGCACTCCAGCCTGGCGACAGAGCAAGACTACGTCTCAAAAAATAAAAAATAAAAATAAAAATAAAAAAAGTATATATATTAAACAATACTCCTCAAATGTTAGAAAATGATATACATTATATTCATGAATATAGTGAGAATACCATTTTCATGTCTATATTCTATTAGCACTATCAATATAATGTGTTCATATTGTTAGAGTTAGTACTGCTAATGTAAATCTACATTAACAGAAAATGTAACATGGTTGACAAAAATCTGTTTTAAGAAAATAAAACAGATATTTGTAGTACACATTTTCAAGCAGTTGGCACAAAATAGAGTAAGAATATGCATATGTATTATATAAACACACACCATATACATATACATATATATTTTTATATATAGTTAAAGAGATGAATAAGTGTAAATTGTGTGGGTAGTTTATTATAATAAGCAAAGGAATTTGTTTCCCTTTATATTTGAAATAATTTTGGCAGGAAGTTACTAACCTAGGAAACCGTAAGTTCTCCAGACCATTAGAATCTCTTGTAGTTCAAGGCTTCCAAATTGTGGGACTTATTTGATTATTTCTTCTAAATCATCAATTGTAGATACCTGCTTATAATGACATTTCTAAACCTGAGCTGGAGTGGTGAGGGAAAAGTAAGTTGAGAATTTTCTATTATGCTCCTCCCTATTGGAAATGGCTATATTTTGCAAAGAAAAAAATTGAGGTTAATCTTTCTCTAAACATTTTTTTAAATATAAATGGCTCTAGAAAGAGAGTTGTGCTAGCTGCTGACTTATGCTTAAAGGTTACAAGTTCCTTGACTTAACATAATGACCTCCAGTTCCATCCATGTCATTGCAAATGACAGAATCTCATTCTTTTTTATAGTATTCCATTGTATATAAGTACAACATATTCTTTCTCCATTCATCGATTAATGGGCCACTTAGGTTGCTTCTAAATCTTGGCTATTGTGAACAGTGCTTCAGCAAACATGGGAGTGCAGGCATCTCTTTGATATACTCATTCTCTCTCTTTTGGGTATATATACACAGCAGTGGGATTGACAGATGATATGACTAAAAGAATATAAATGAATTACTTGTTACACAAAGGATAAATGCTTGAGGGGATGGATACTCAAATTTTCATGATGTGGTAATTATGCATTTTATGCCTGTGCCAAAATATCTTATGTATCCCCATAAATATATGAACCTACTATTTAACCACAAAAATTAAAAATTAAAAAAGTCATAGACAAAATTTACAAGTTCTTAAGATTTATTGTGGAAGAATCTTTAATTTAGCATATTATTTGTGTAACTAATAATGAATCTATGGATATTGGAATAGAAATTTCCATCATATAATTCTGATTTTTAAATTTTTTTTGGCTAGAAAAGCAATCTTTAAAATTTTAACTAACTTACAAGAATATTTTGTGCTACACTCTTGGGGGAAGTTTTATATAAACTTCATATTTAAAAAGTTATTAATTGATGAACCTGATATGAAAAATATAATGCCACTGGCTTGTACTGTTTTTATATTTGAATTTTATCATAATTCATGCAATACAATTTATGTTACTATTAATGTAAATAATCAAATCTATTTTATTAGAACAGGGCTAACGTAAGGTCATGACCAGGCTATTAGTAAATTTATTTCTTAAATAAAATTACTTTAAAAGAGATAATCACTATTGACAGAAGATGAATGCTTTTTAAAAACCTGCTTTCTATGGGAAAAATGTGGTGTGTGCAATTCAAATATTTGGAAAATACAAGCATAATTTCTCTTAATAGTAGAAAGACTTCCATTTAATCCAACAGTCTTTATTGTTAACAAGCATAAACAGGATCCTAACTAATGAATTGCTGGCATTCAAATTTTGCAGAGATTTTCATGATTTTGTTCTGATGTGTTTTTGATTCTCATATAAACAAAAATTATAAAGAAGTCAGTTTCAGGAGAGGTGGCAATGACCATTTTAAGATAAAATAATTAAACTAACATCTATCAATCAGTGAGTGCTTAGTATAATACAGGCATCATAAATTCTTTATAGTGGTTGATTTTTTTCAACACCTGTGAGAAGTAGACAATATTTTACCCATTTAAATTGATAAAAATAACTTTGAGAAGACTGAATAACTGCTCACAAAATCATAGAGGTAACAAATTTTATTGTCAGTTTGCAAATCCAGGTATTAATTATTTCAATAACTATGACCTTAACCACTTTTCCATACTGCCTTTTGAAGTGTGGTTCAGAATGAAAAAATGAATTGTCTGATTGGACACTGGAACTAGTCACCTGTTGTTTGTAACTTGGGAGAAAACAAAAGAATATAAAAACTGTCAAATCATAGAAATTTAAAGCTGGCAACAAAATTTTGAGTTCATATAGTCCAAACCCTCTAATTGAGAACACTGAGACCCAAAGTGGAAAATGGCCAAATGGCATTACAAGCAAATCACATCAAATAAGCATCTAATTCATCAATAGTTGCTTTTATAGTCTAACTCTGTAATGAGAGCCTAATACGTCATAAGACCAGTCTTTGACTGCATTAAAGAGATGTTCGGTGAGATGAGATTTTGATGAGAAGGCAATGATGGAGAATTTTGAACCTAGTCATCAAGTTATCCATAGCGTTCACAAAACAAAACAAAATAAAAACTGTTAGTCATTATAATTAGTTTCTTTTTTCAAATTTAGACAAAAACATATTGAGCATCTTCAAAGCAACAGACCCTATTTTAGGTGTTACCACATTTATTATTTCATTTAATACAAACATATTTGAAACTATTAACATGATCAGTTACACAGGATTAATATTAAACTCTGTTGGCAAGCATAGTCATTTTAGAATTATCCACCAATTCCACATTCATAGTCGGAAATTTACAAATTCACTTAATGGCAGTATAGTGTGAATACTAATCCTTTTTAATACTGGCTTTATTGAAATATAATTGACAAATAAAAATAATATATATTTAAAATGTACAACATGATATTTTATATATGTGTAACTTTCTTCCAAGAATTAAGCTAATTAATACATCCATCACCTCTCAGTTACCATTATTTTGTGTGTATGGTGAGATACTTAAGAAGATTAGCACATTTTAAATATACAATAAAGTATTATTGATTATAGTCACCATGCTGTACATTAGATCACTAGAGCTTATTCATCTTGCACAACTTAAACTTTGTATCCTTTGGCCAATATCTTCCCATTTCTTTCCATTCTTAGCCCCTTTCTAGCACCGTTCTACTCTCTACTTTTATGAGTTTAGCTTTTTTTATATTTCACATATAAGTGAGATCATGTAGCATTCATCTTCTTGTGTGTGACTTTTTTCACGTAGCATAATGTTCTCTGGTTTCATCCATACTGTTGCGAATGGTAGGATTTCCTTCTTTTTTAAGGCTGAAAAATATTCCATTATATGTGTGTTATATATATGTAATATATGTACATATATGTAATATATATATAATGCATGTACATATAGGTAATATAGGTGATGCATATGCATATGTGTAATGTATGTACATGTGTATGATGTGTGTACATATATGTAATGCATGTGGTGTGTGCATATATGTAATATATGTGATGTATGTACATGTGTGTGATGTACGCACATATATGTGGCCTGTATATATATGTAGTATATACGTACATATAAGTTAGAAATAGGGATCATTCTGAGAAATGCATCATTAGGTGATTTCATCATTATGCGCACATCAGAGTGTACCTACACATCCTAGATGATACAGCTTACTATGTATGTAGGGTATATGGTATAGCCCATTGCTCCTAGGCTACAAACTTGTACAGCATGTTCCTGTACTGCATACTGTAGGCAATTGTAACAAAATTGTAAGTATTTGTGTAGATAAAAATATCTAAATATATAAAATGTATAGTAAACGTATGGTATTAAAATTTTGTGGGACCACTCTCATACATGTGGTTCATCAGTGACCAAAACATCATTATGTGATAATATGTGTATAGTGCATGACTCTCTCTCTCTCTGTATATATGCATACATATGCACATACACAACATATGAATGAAGAAAATTTGCGTGAATGTGTGTGTGTATATATACACATATTTGTGCACACACATGCACACACACACACAAATTTTCTTTATCCATCCATATGTTGTCAATGGACACTTAAGTTGTTTCCATATCTTGACTATTGTGAAGAATGCCACAATGAACATGAGAGTGAAGATATCTCTTCAACACACTGACTTTATTTCCTTTGAAAATATATCCAGAAGGGGAATTGCTAGATACATGGTAATTCTGTTTTTAATTTTTTGAGGAACTTCCATACTGTTTTCTGTAACAGCTGTATCTACTTACATTTCTACCAACAGTGTACAAATGTTCACTTTTCTATACATCCTTACAAAATACTTATGTTTTATCTTTTGAAAATAACCATCCTAACAGGTGTGAGGTGATATCTTCCTGTGCTTTTGATGTGCATTACCTTGATAATTAGTGATGTTGAACATGTTTTCATATATCTATTGGTCATTTATGTTTTCTTTTGATAAATGTTTATTAAAGTCCTTTTTTCCATTTAAAAATTATGTTATTTGTTTTTTTCCTATTGAGTTGTTTGAATTCCTTACAGTATATGTAGGATATTAACGCTGTCTTAGTTTAGGCTGCCATAACAAAACACATTAGACTAGGTAATTTGTAAATAGAAAATTATTTCTGAAGTTCTAGTCACTGGAAAGTTTAAGATCAAGACAACAGCAGATTCAGTGTCTGGTAAAAGTTCATTCCTTATACATGGTGGCTTTTAGCTGTATGCTCACACAGTGGAAAGGCAAAGGGACAATCAAGCTCCCTGGTACCTCTTTTATAAGGGCAGTGATCTCATTCATGATGGTGGAGTCCTCACGATCTAATCAACTTCAAAGGCCCCAAGTCTTAATACCATCAAATGGGGGATTAAGTTTCAACATATGAATTTGAAGGGGATGCAAGTATTCAGACCATAGCAAACCTCTTAACAGAGATATGGTTTTCTTTTCTTTTCTATGTATTTATTTATTTTGGGAACTTCTGTCTCTGTCACTTAGGCTGGAGTGCAGTGGGGCCATCTCGGCTCACTGCAACCGCTGCCTCCCAGGCTCAAGTCATCCTCCCATCTCAGCCTCCCCAGTAGTTGGGACTTGAGGTGCGTGCCACCATGCCCAGCTAATGTTTGTATTTTTTGTAGAGAAGGGGATTTCACCATATTGCCCAGGCTGGTCTTGAACTCCTGATCTCAAATGATCCGCCCACCTCGGCCTCCTAAAGTCCTGGTTTTGCAGGCCTGAGCCACTGCACCCAGCCAGATATATGGTTTTCAAATATTTTCTCTCATTCCACAAGTCATAGGTTGCCTTTTCAATCTGCTGATTGTTTCTTGCGGGATGCAGAAGCTTTTTTCAAAGCATTTTTTCTAATGCTTTGGAAAAAAAATTACCTTTAGTACTTAGATATGCCTTGGTGTATCAAAATAATTCTTAAGCCATTGGTTGTGTTTACATCACTATACAAGTTTTCGTATGCCACAATATTATACTGTATTTTATGAGTGATTTAAAGGAGCTTCAGGAACAATTTTGTTTATAAATAATTTTTCTGTGATGATTTTATGACTTCATATTCATAGAATAGTTTAATTATGTCTATCTACCTATCTATATGATTTATTAGAACAAAAATATTGAGTAAATATACATGTGACCTGGAACCAAAGTTTCTAGATAATTGTTTCTGATATTATGGTCCTTAATCTGCACTGTGGGATGTTGCTGAAAATACAGATTCTTGGATCTACTTCAGACCAGCTGAATTAGACTCTGAGGGCTTGATCCATGGATCTGCATTTTTAACACAACTCTTCGTGATTTATATGCATGCTAAAGTTGAGAAGCCTTACTCTACATTTTCTAGTCCAAAGCTTTCCCACACTGCTAGAGATGGGTTAAGTTAGTAGCTATGCAAAGTTTTCCCTTGCTTATTTCTGCTGCATGACGTTGATTTCATTTCACATGAAATCAAAGCTTTTGATAATGGATAAGAATGTTCAACACTCAATGGGTTTAAAGAATTTTAAAATATTACAATTGTGGAAAACTTTTAAAAACAGACTTTTAAATATATGAGGTGGAGGTCAAGAGAAGGACAAAGTAAAATGACCTTTCACAGGGGTATGTTTTGTGAACTAGAAATGAAGAATAAACTGCTTCCCTCATTCTCACATAATGAAAACCTTTATACAATCAAATTAAATAAATAACTTCAAGAAGAGAAGTTATTATTTAGTGATTAATGGATATCCTGCCCTCCTTTTTAATAGAGTCTTTGAATTGCAGTCATGGAAATCATCTTAATAGGTCATCTTGTCCTTCTCTTGACCTGCAAACCTGATGTAGTTAAAAGTCTATTTTTAAAAGATTTCCACAACTGCAATATTCTGAAATCCTTTGGAACTCACTTAGTGTTGAACAGCCTTTTCCATTATCAAAAGTTTCTTTCTTCCCTCCCTGTTTAACAATTAAAATTCATTTTTCTCTGTTATGTTTTCAATGAAAATGGGAAATAGCTGGTCACCACAATCTGTGGAACAACTCTTCATTGAAGACTATTAATAATGTCCCTTTCATCAGTCCTTCTCAAGCTGAAATAAGTTCTTTTAATCCTTCTTAGAATTTTCCCATTTTTTTAATACTTCATTTATTTATTTTATTCTATCCTGAGCTCACTTCCTTCTTCTTAAGTTCTGGGGTGTGAAACTAGACACAGTAGGATTTCACTGGTGCTGAATATAATGGGAGGATTACCTTGCTGTTCATATTTACTCTACTCCTGTTTATGCATCCTGTAGAACTCTGAGAAGTGCAGATAAGATGTAAATGGATGGCCTGATGTTCATGGTCTCGAATGATTTCATACCATTTCTCATAAAGATATGGATGTTATTCCCAGGAACCTGGCCAGTTTGTATCATAGGTAATTACTTTCTGCCTATCTATAGCATTCTAAGTTTCAATTAGATGAATTATTCTTCACTTTCACTGGTAAAGACATTATTGCAAAAGTTGTTTGAGCAGAACAGAACAGCTCTGCATTTTAAAAGAGGGAGAGAGGACCACTTTATGCTCAGTTTGTAAAGAGGCTAGCGTTCCTTAGGAGTATGAAAGACAGTAATAAAGAGTCCTGCTTCCCCAGCTAATGCACAGGGTCCAACATGATCGGTATTTATTTTTGTTTTACCCTTATATGGCTTAGTTATCCTAAATCTTAACAAGAAAATCTTCCTTGATAATGGCTCTTCTTCGCCAATTCCAGTGAAATTTTTAGTAAAAGATGTTTAAAATAGAACATGATATTCACAAGTTCATAAGTCAGATTTGCACATGTTGCATTGATCTAACTAAAAATGTAGAGAATTTACATTTGCTTTTGTTTGTTTTATTTGTTGTCTTCTTTCATTCTGGATAAAGGCAAAGAAATTATATACACTCATAGTTCTGTAAAACCATACTGAGTATTTATGTGTCAGTGCATGCATCAATCTGTCACCAGAGGTTCTAAAACAAGTTAGAGCAGTCTGGCTTTCTATGTGTTCTCTGTCTTTTCAGAATAATTTTTTCTATGCCATTTCTTTTAAAAACATTGTCTTAGATATTATCTCATTTGAACCCAAAGACTTTCTTTTTGTATTCCCTCTCCTTTTCTCCCTGCACCCCTTAGAATTTTCACATCTTTGTTTTAACCCATTTGTATTTTCATACAGTCTGCAGACCCTTGAATGTAGGGGAAGACCAGATAACCTGTGCAGCGGATCTTTTTGTGAAGAAACGCAACTTCACAAGCACAGCCTTATCATCTCATTCCTCACGTTTTTCCCTACTTTCCTACTCTGCTGCATTCTTTCCCCTCTCAAGTCTGCTTATAGGAACTTAGGGAAGTTTTACAAAACATTAAATGTTTACTCTCCATCTTAAAACTCTAAATGTCACCTTGCCATTCGCATGTTTTAATAGAATCTACTGCCTCTAGGATAAAATCTATATTTCTTTGTACACATTTTATAATTTGTATTATGCTCTGCTATGCTGAAATCGTCTCTTTTTCAGCTTCTCTGCTCTCTTCCACACTGCCCCTACTCCAAATTGTTATTTCCCAGTTTATGTTTGTTTTCCTCCTTTTGCTTTTAAATGCTTCTTGGTATGGCTGAAAAATTATATAATCTTTCTAGTAATTAGGTGCAACTCATGTATTTCATGCATTTGTGAGGCTTATCCACCTTTCCACTTGCAGAACATTGTTTCCTTCTTCATGTTTCTATGGCCATTAAAAAATATTTTTTACAGCATTTAACATGTTTTAAAATATGTTTTGTTTTGTTATCTGCCTTTTGTTCTAGAATTTGTTTTTTAGATATCATGATTTTATAATCCTTTATTTATTCATTCATTCATTTATCCAGTAATGAAGACATTCCAGAAGTCAGGTACTATATTGTGTGATGTAACACTGATGAAGGAAACAAAGGTCATGTTTTATGCTGTTGCTTTTCTTTTTCTTTTTTTTTTTCCTTTGGGAGAGAAGAAGATAAAAAAAAAATAAGTGGACAAATAAATTTATTCCAGGTTGTGATAGAAAACAGAAAAATGTAATAAAAAGTGATTTCATATTTGGTCTATATCTAGGAAGATGTTCAGCAAAAGCATATCTGAGGATATGACTCTTAAGCTGAGATCTGCATGATGAGAAAGCTTTACCTCTGAAGATCTGGGAGAAGAGAGTTTCAGACAGAGGAAACAGCATATGCTGAGGTACAAGCAGTAGGATGAGCTTGCTATTTGGAGAACTGGAAAGAGGTGCAGTGTAACAAGAATATGGTAAAGGTAGATGAGCATAGTCAGAGATGAGATAGGAGGGGTACTCAAGAACCGTACTTAACTATGTTGTTAATAGAAGTTCTTCAGTAAGAAAATTGAGACCTTGTCTGAAAAAATAATATATTTTTAATATTATTTTAATGTTTATAATATATTATATTTAATAACTTAACTATGTAATGAAGGCCACTGGACAAACAAAGAAACTGAATAATAGATTTTGATTCATAAGCTTTAAATATTTGAATCTAATAATGGCCAAAGCACTTTCACATGTTACCTGCATACTATAAAATAGGATCCACATCAGAGACAATCTTTTTACACCATAAATATATAAAATGAGTTTGAAGCTGTAAAAAAATAAGAATGTTACTATAGACAGGCTAATCATGCACACTGCTCTTTTGTAATTCTTAAACAAATTTGTAAAGAAGAAAATAAAAAGACATTTTAAAAGGAAGAGAACTATTAAAATGTGGAAACAAATTGGGTGATTCGTGAATATCTTTCTTTAAATATTATCAACATGTATTGGACCATAATCTCTTAAAAGACAAATTATTTTATTAGTTTTTATTAGTTTTTGTTAAGTATTTAATTAATATTCCTTTCATAGATATTTAATTAAATAAAAATATATACCCCATGTTATATTTTAAACATTCACCTTCATTTGCTTAGGCAATTAAAGTAACTTTTTAAAAATCCCAGAAATTGAAGTACAACTTTTTGTCTATTATTCACTTTCACAACAATATTAATTTGTACTTATTGTCTATAAAATGTGTTGGACTCAATCCCCAAATAATTTTCTACATTTATTTTTTTCTTTTCTGAAAAATAATCACTGAGAGTGGCCTATCATAATTAAAAAGTAAAACAAATCACATAATAATATTCTAAAGACAGAAAAATGCCACAGTACAGGACTGTTTTCTGTTATGAAGCATTTGGCAGATGGAGGAGATCACTGTGATTATTGATGAGTGGGAAGTAAGAACATCTCCATATTGTACCATGGACAAGTGTCAGATGACAAGTACATTTTTTTGTGGAAACTTTGATGGAATCTAATATTTTGCTTTT
The DNA here is from genome assembly GCF_000001405.40 of Homo sapiens. Lineage (NCBI taxonomy): Eukaryota > Metazoa > Chordata > Mammalia > Primates > Hominidae > Homo > Homo sapiens. The sequence goes on from NC_000003.12 coordinate 165,335,379, forward strand.
ATAGTCAAGTGGTTGTGCTCAGATAATCCCCACTTTGAGATTCTCTAATGATGCCTGACATATATCAGAGGCCAGGAATTCCCTGCAATATTTCCTTAGACTTGTCAACCAGATTTATTCATAAATGAGAATAAATGAGCATGTCAGCATAAGTTATTGTGGTAATTTGTGAAACTCTTAATGAGATATTTTCAGAGCTCATAAAGGAAAGAGCTATGTCATTAAATTACTGCACAACAATTTTATTTTGATACAGTAAGTGAGCTGATATTTTATCAGAAATGACACTCTGATGCATCAGTGAACTGAAGATGAACAATTAAATGTTCCAGTGAAAGAGGTCTGATGATACTTAAAGGTAAAGATTTGCAAAAGAATGTGAAGTAAGAAAAAATGATGATTATTCATATACATCGAATACATTTTTAATTTATTGGAAGGGCGGCAAGGTGCGGTGGCTCACACCTGTAATCCCAGCACTTTGGGAGGCCAAGGCAGGTGGATCACCTGAGGTTAGGAGGTCAAGACCAGGCTGGTCAACATGGTGAAACCTCATTTCTACTAAAAATACAAAAATTAGCTGGGCGTGGTGGCAGGCTCCTGTAATCCCAGCTACTCAAGAAGCCAAGGCAGGAGAATCACTTGAACTTGGGAGGCGGAGTTTGCAGTGAGCCAAGATTGTGCCACTGCACTCCAGTCTGGGTGACAGATCATCAAGGTTTGCACACCTCAAAGGCAATGCATAAAATAGTTACACCCTCTATAAATAAGGGCCTAAGAGTCAAAACAGGAAAATGTGCATATTGATAGGCTTTCATGATACATCATTATAAGCATAACTCATAAACACATTCCTTTTAACTGTGGCTTTATTTTGTCTCCCTTAATTTATCCAGATACATAGACACCTTTCTAAAATCACTCACCTATGGCTTTTATGTAACTCAGTTAGAAGATCCTTACTGGCTTTAGTCCTTGAATAAAAGCTGGGCTGGATCAATAAGACCTGGTGCATGCTAATTCTAAACCTAAGCAACAGACTGAGACTTCATACGAGAATGTCTGTTGGGAACTTACTGGAGATTGGGCTGGAGGTAAGGAACTGAGGATGCACTTAGATATAAGAGGTTCCCTGCCCAGCAGAGCCTGCTATTTAAGTAGAGAGTAAGAGACACATATAAAAGAAAAGTGAGTTGTAAATGAGTGCACTAAAAAAGTGCTGTAGTTCTTTAGAAAGAGAAGAAACAGAGAGGAAGGTGATAGTTAAGAAGACCGTGGAGAGGAATGCCTGCAAATGGGACATAAAGCAAAGGCAATAATAATACTTTTTGCATGCTTTACAGTTAATGCAAACATTTTATATGTATTATTTAATTTCCTTATTGCAAGAACCATGTCACAAGAACGTTATTAATTTGCTCATTTTTAAGCTACTGATCCTCAAGGAATTTCACAGTAAAGTTGGGAGTCAAATTCAGGCCTTCTGTTTTATTACTTTACAATTTGTGCTACAGTGCTATTCAATGGAGTACTTAGACCATGAGGTAGGCCTTTTATGGGAAACATTACCAAAACCATGGAGGCAGGAAGTGGTAAAAAGCATGGGACCTAGCATTCAGATCCTGTCTTCACTCCGTTTTAGCTATGAGGCCTCTGACAAATTACTGTGCTCCATGTTATCTACAGATCATAAAAATAGTATTACTCATTCACAAGGTTGTTTTGAGAATTAAACAAAACAGTATCTGCAGACATTAGACTAATATCTAGCACATATTAGGCCAATAGTTCTAAAACTGGGGGTTTTAGATAGCAATTACAACTTAAAAATTATTGTACACCCTAAAGGATTTATGTAGATTATAGTTATCAATATTTACATATAAGAATTTAAAATATTTCTTTATTAATTTAAAATTGCAGTAGTAAACTCATTACAAGCTAAACTAAGTAATGTTTTTTTAGGAAAAAGGGATTATGTTTTACAGACAAAAATATTAATTGATAAAAATAGCATTGTTTTACATTTTTGCAGGTCTCTGTACTCTTTGACTTAATAAAACAGAGCTGAATTATTCTATCTGTTTCTGCATGCAATCTGGTGCGCAATGCTGTGTTTGCAGACCTATATAAAGAAAATCTGGTCTCACACAGATACGTAGTTGGAAAAGGGATGGATATTTTCAAAAGCTTTTCATGTAATTGTAGCTATTCTCCTTTAATGCTACACCAAAACTTGGCATATGATAGTTTCTTAATGTTTAACTGCAAGGTGAAATCTGAAATCATATCAATGAACTTTCTGAACTCTTGAAATCCAATGATGTATCATATTCTTTGAATGCATCCTTACTGATGCATAACTTTGTATCATCACATAAGGATCATTTGAAAAATGCTGGTTTATTGATTTATGCCAATCTTCAAATGTTAAATGCATTTTATTATGCAACATCAGAAAATCACATTTATTGTCACCAACAATTGCTTTAGGGAAGTCTCGAATTATTAGAAAGATCTTAAGCTTATGATGACAGATGTAAGTTTTCTGTACTTCTTATTTTTGCTTGAAATCTTGAATTTTTTTTCTTTTCTTTTTTTTTTTTTGAGACGGAGTCTCACTTTGTTGCCCAGGCTGGAGTGCAGTGGCGTGATCTCGGCTCACTGCAAGTTCTGCCTCCCGGGTTCATGCCATTCTCCTACCTTAGCCTCCTGAGTAGCTGGGACTACAGGCATCTGACACCATGCCCGGCCAATTTTTTGTGTGTGTGTATTTTTAGTAGAGACGGGGTTTCACTGTGTTAGCCAGGATGGTCTCAATCTCTTGACCTCGTGATTCGCCCGCCTTGGCCTCCCAAAGTGCTGGGATTACAGGCGTGAGCCACCGCCCCCGGCCGAAATCTTGAATATTATTATTAACAACAAACAATGTCAGTTGTTTTCTTTTAAGGGTAAGCTTACTTTGTTCATTTTTAAAAGCATTTCTGCCAAATATCCTCTGAATAATTGTAGTTAGTCTGTCAATTGTTCTTTCAAGTAAAAATGATTTTCCATGTAAAAAGCAAAAGCAACTAGTTCAACTCTAAAATCACATCACATAATTGAATAACTGCTGTTTCTCATGATGATCATCATACTTTAGTGTGCAGCAGAAGCGCTTATACACACTTTCCATGCTTCATGGCCATCCTTATGTGAATCTGAATCTGGCTTTTTTTTTTTTTTTTAACTATGAGTGTGTGGTGGTGAAGAATACAGTGACTAATAGTACAGTATGGTACAACTTCCTTGATTTGTGCCCAGAAACCATCAGTTTTCTTCATCACTGTTTTTGCACCTTGAATGCAAATGTCAACGCTATGAAAATTGGAAACTACATTTTAGCATTACAAAAATAGTTTTGACCTCATAACCCCCATGGATGTGTTTTGGGACTTCCAGGAGTCTTGATCACATTTTGAGAACTATTGCACTGGGCTTTCATATTAGCTACTATTACTGTTAAGAAGAAAGTGCCAAGGTTTGTCCAAAAAATTGGTACGGTAGGTAAACGTGAATGACAAAATCATGTAGGAAGTACATTTGGAAAGTATGAGTCAGATTTAGAGAGTTCTGTTGTATAAGTGGCTCTGTATTGAAAAATCACTAGACATAAGATATTACATGTTTTCTAGGCCATATGAAGAAGTTCCGATGAAGTATAGAGGGATGATTCTACACAAAATAAATACAGCAGTCAAATGGATATAGGCTGTATAGTTAAACGGTCACACAGTGTTTGCAGATCTGAGTTATTCACTATTGTACAAGTGTGTTATTTTTGTGGATCTAATTTTACCATGGTAGATGTGTATGCCTTTACATGATATTCCTCCATAGTACCTAACCCAAAAGACAAGGCAATTACATATATTTACTGAGTAATTATGGACTAGTATGCAACTCACATTTTATGGTTCAACTCTGTGTGCTTTAGTAACATAAACACAAGAGTGAGTGTATATTTAATAGACGTAATGTTTGAAAGTTTTATCTAGGTAACATTTCTTTTATATGCTTCTTAAAAAAAGTATTTTCTTGTCCCTTCTCTGTATACGACCTCTCATTTACAATTATATTTACCTGGAAAAAATTTATTAATCATGTCTGTTTTGTTCATTATATTGAAATCATCTTTAAAATTTAGAATTTACTTATTTATATAGTACTTTGTATTTTATAATAAACTTTTTGATATAACATTTTCTTATTAATATTCTGAAGAGTTCTGTGAAATTTGAGCTCTTATCCCCATTTAACTGTACTTTATACATGGGTCTCAAACTCCAAAGCTGAGAATTTAAAATCAAGCTTTTAACATAGAATTTCTGATTTTTACTTAATCTTAAAAACACTTATGGTTACCTTCATTTTAAATTTTAAGTTGAAACTATACAATTTTTCACACTGCTGTATAAAATTAAAATGTTAAAACCCTCTCCAAAATATACTTGTTAATCTGGCATAGTGAAAAAGCATTGTAAAACTACTGTAAAACTGCTTGCAGCTCAACCTCTGTTTGCCAGCAGAGGTTGCTCTTAGGTTAGCGATTACCTTGAGATTACATTATATTAAGACTATTAAGCAGATGAATGGAAGCTACATTATGATGTAACTATGGAGAAGTTATATTTAAATAAAATAATAACTATGTGAGTGACTCTCACATGTGTTAATCTCCACATTCTTAGAAATTATGCTCTTTACAAAGATATCTCTGTAGCTGAGCAGAAAGTGACATTCTTGAAACAGTTTATGGTTTGCCAGGAGAGAAGAATTGCTAATTTAGAAAATCAAAAAAATTGAGGCATATCTTTAGTTTGCTTAAAAAAATTGCATATTAATACAAATCTGTTTGAACAAATGTGAAAACACAGGTAATTGCATATATATGAAAAATATTTTGTAACAGACATTTAAAACACTTTTAAATTAAAATAACTGATTTACTCCGGAAGACTCAAAATGTCAGAGATTATCATAAAACAGAACTTTGTACTTATTTTTAGGAAAATAAAGCTTTGAAACAAGAAAAACATCCTACAATATTTTCTGCAAATTTGAAACCGAGAAGTATTCAAAGAGCTGTTTTATCTATTATCTATCTATCTATATCTATCTATCTGGCATTACAGTGTTAGTACACTTTTACAGGTAAAACATAAATAAAATACAGTTTAATTTTAAAATGTCACTCTGGAAAAACATAGTATATGTATCATAATTAATACCATAATTAAAGGTATTTATTAGAAATTAGAGTCCTCATATTCCTTCTTTACATTTTTTATGAATGTTTGTTTTTCTCATAATTTCTTATGTTATTTAATGCTAATATTTAAAAATAATACTGATTTGTTTATAAATATTATGAATGAATGTAGATCTCATTGACATTAGTTTTATAGTAAGCAGGTTTTAACAGAATACCAGTGTTAAATATTCTAGGAGAATTTGAACAAGTTATTTTAAACTTATTTTTCAAAGTGTTTTAATTCTGTCTCTGATATTTTATTTTATTTTAAAAATGCACTACTGTAGCTTTTATATGACTGTTAAAGGGAGAAATTTTGGTTAAGCTATTTTCATTGCTCAACCATTTGGAAGGCCTGGCAAGAGTTGTGATTGTTTATAACTGTTATTTATATTATTATTGTTTGTTAGATATTATTAAGTTTATGACTTCTAATTAATATTTATGATAGCATCAAATATTTATAATGTCAAATAATAATTTGAAGCCATAATCTTAATATCTAATAAACAATAATAATGTAAATAACAATTATAAACAACCATAATATTTACCTTTATGTTTACCTGCTTTATCAAGTACCTTGAGAAAATGAAAAAACTGATTCTTAGGTTTGCTCATTGTTTAGTCAGTCTCCCCAAAATGATTATTGAACCTTCTAGGTATATTATGCAGGAGCAAGTTATGCAACTTGTCCCAAGACTGAGATCATGGAGTTGCAAATCACAGCAGTCTGTGCATGTTCAGAAACAACTCTTACCTCTGTGGTAGACTGCTTCTGAGTTGGGGAATCATATGCATGTCTCTGATATGAAATTTGCCTTTCTTCAAAAATATCTGACTTCTGAAACTATATGAAAATCCTATTTTTGTTATTATAATCAGACACCTATTAGTTTAAACATATAGCTACCATGTTGCCATCTACATTAGTATTAAATATATAAGTAAATGGATATCTACATATACATTTTTAAGCACTTTTAAATATTGAACTATATGAAGTACTGACTGTATTCCAAACAGTGTTTCTTTAATATGTTAAGAATATATTTTAATAAATACTTTAGAACAAAATTAAAAGATGACTTTGTAAAGTATTTGTTACTAAGCTGTCTACTAGAATAAGTATCTTAGAAAGTTTTATGTTTTTTATTTTTTAAATTTAATTTTAACTTCTTGAATATTTTCCTTTGATAAACTAAATATTTTCTTCAAATCCATTAAAGGGTTTACCTAAATATCCTAAATTTTTTCATATACTCAATACGTAAAATGTTTTCCTATGAGGTACTAACAGTTTAATTCTGACATAAAAATGAATGTTTTCCATTAAGAAAAATAATGATGACATGTATTCTCAGAGTGTTTTTGGATTTTCATTTCTTTAGCGGAGAAAACAGTATCACAAATAATTTTAGAAAAAAATTTAGTTCACAATTTACTTTTCTGCCCCCAAAAATCCAAATACAATATTTAAATCTTAGCTTCCTAATATGCATTCAGGATATGCATAAAGGATATGCATATATTCATGGTATATAATTTTAATTTAAGAGCTCAATGAATATGCATGCTAATATAAGACCATTTGAATAACATACCTTGATTTCAATCTCTGAATACTTAAGTACATGTGACTTGTGTTGATTGAAATGGAGTATTAGTTTTGGTCACGTTCAAATGTTACCAGGAATATACACATGAGATAGGAACTCGGCAGACTTGTTTCACAAGTCACAGGTCACAAAAACCCTGCTGATTGGCAGGGCGCGGTGGCTCACACCTGTAATACCAGGACTTTGGGAGGCTGAGGCAGGCAAATCACGAGGTTAGGCGATCGAGACCATCCTGGCTAACACGGTGAAACCCCGTCTCTACTAAAAATACAAAACATTAGCTGGGCATGGTGGCAGGCGCCTGTAGTCCCAGCTACTCGGGAGGCTGAGGCAGGAGAATGGCGTCAACCCGGGAGGCAGAGCTTGCAGTGAGCTGAGATCGTGCCACTGCACTCCATCCTGGGAGACAGATCGAGACTCCGTCTCAAAGAAAAAAAAAAAAAGCCAGTCAACACCAAAATGGCAATGGAAGCAACTTCTGGTTGTCTTCACTGTGCATTATACACTAATTAGAATACATTAGCATACTAAAAGAACTTTCGCCAGCAGCCATAGCAGTTTACAAATGCCGTGGCAACTCCAGGAAGTTTACCGTATATTGGTCTGAAAAGGAGAGGAGCCCTTGGTTCCGTGAACTCTCCACCCCTTTCCCAAAAAAACTCATAAATAATCCACCCCTTGTTTAGCATATGATCAAGAAATAACCAAAACAATAGCCAACCAGCAGCCCTTGAGGCTGCTGTGCTCATGGAGTAGCCACCCTTTTATTCCTTTACTTCCTTAACAAACTTGCTTTCATTTTATACTCTCTGTTTGCTCTTGAATTCCTTCCTGCATGAAGCTAAGAACCTACATGGGCTGCCTGGCTGAATCACGATTTGGGGATTTGCCCTGTGACACATATAAATAGTTTTTGGATCCACAGAAGTTATCAGTGGTTGTATGTTATTCTCCTTCAGGATGAGGTAGAGTAATATGGGGGAAAACTATAGACTAGAGCAAAACTTCCTCCATGAATGAACAGATTTAGCTATGTGCTCTAGGATTAAGTCCATATCTGCAGACACTACTCAGTACTTAAAAGCCAACCTCAACATAAAGGTGGGCTCTTAGATGTGGCTCCTAAATTTTCACTCACAACACTGAGCGTTTTTATCTCTTCAGTTAATCTGCAAAGTTGTATGTATTCAAGCAATATGGCTAGGCAAGTTTTCTAAACTATGTGTTGTGTATAGTATCTATTTGAAGAGTTATGAGAAAAGTTTTAAAAATGAAGATAAAGAAAAAGAAAGCAAAAGAGAGAGAGAAATCTTTAAAGGTTAAATAGGTTTTTTCCATCAACATATTTAGGGAGCTTAGGGGTTGGCAGCTGAAAATCTATCATACTCACAGTTGACTTAATGTACCCTACTATGGGACCTGACACAGTAGATATGTAATAAATGTATGCTGAATCTTTTTAAAAAAATACTGAAAAATAAAGAATAATAGCCCTTCAAATTCTTACAAAGGGTTTCTTGTAATTTTAAAAAATGTTATTTATTTATTTATTTTTAGAGACACCCAAGATAGAGTGCAGTGGTATCATCACAGCTCAAACTGCTGGGTTCCAGGGATCTTCCCACCTCAGCCTTCCAAGGAGCTAGGACTACAGGAGCATACCACCAATGCCTGGCTAATTTATTTTTATTTTCATTTTTGTAGAGACAGAGTTTCACTATATTGCCCAGGCTTGTGTCAAACCACTGGCCTCAAGTGATCCTCCTGCCTCAGACTCCCAAAGCACTGGGATTATAGTTGTAAGCCACCCTGCCCACCAGGTTTCTTGTAGTTTTAAAAACAAATAAAGAGGCCAGCACGGTGGCTCACGCCTGTAATCCCAGCACTTTGGGAGGCTGAGGCAGGTGGATCACGAGGTCAGGAGTTCAAGACCAGCCTGGCCAATATGCTGACACCCCATGTCTACTAAAAATGTAAAAATTAGCCAGGCGTGGTGGCATATGCCTATAGTCCCAGCTACTCAGGAGACTGAGACAGAAGAATCACTTGAACCCGGGAGGCGGAGGTTGCAGTGAACCGAGATTGTACCACTGCATCCCAGCCTGGGCGATGAAGTAAGACTCCGTCTCAAAAAAAAAAAAAAAAACCCAACAACAATAACAATAAACAATGAATAGTACATATTACATGCCAACCAATTTTCTAAGTATTTTATACAAATTAATTTATTTAATTCTCACAACAATCTTATTAGAGATATAAGATTTATTTCTTTTTTCTTTCCATGATGAGAAAACTGGTTTATAGGGAGATTTGGTAATTCACCCAAGATTACGTCTAGACAACCTCTGTCTAGGGACAGTGCTCTTAATCACAACACTAATGCTATTTCACATATAGGACCCTGAACGAGCTTTCATCCAATTTCTATCAAAATTCCATCTAAGTGAGAGATTTTGTGTGTGTATCTGCATGCGTGTGTGTGTGTGTGTGTGTGTGTGTGTGTGTGTGTCTTGGAAAAAGGGGTGTTTGAGACATAGCCTATACCCATATCCCAATATCGGTGTTTCTCAATTTTTTTTTCTCTCTAGCATACCTGAAGTATACCCAATTACCCAATACTTCAAGAATTGGGTAGTGCATACCAGAGGTAATACTCCCTTAGGTGAGCGTGTTAGAGTCTTGAGGTGAAGATTGTGTATAGTAAGAAATCTGTCCCACTTTATTAGATTCTGCCCAAGTGAAATGTACCTCCCTTTTATTCTGTTTTCTCCATTTCAATGCAAATATGTTTTCTATAATCTAGAACTTATTCCTGGATCAAATAATATATTTGGATAGCATTGAGAATTATTTTTAGAATAACTGTGCACTACCTCTTCATACTAATATGTTAAATACTTTAAAAATGATATGGTTTGGCTTTGTGTCTTCACCCAAATGTCATCTCGAATTGTGATCCCCACATGTAGAAGGACCTGGTGGAAGGTGATTGGATCGTGGGGGTGGTTTCCTTCATGCTGTCCTCATGATAAAGAGTGAGTTCTCATGAGAACTGATGGTTTAAAGGTGTTTGGTGGTTTCGCCCTGACTGTCTCCCTCTCTCTCTCTCTCTCTCTCTCTCTCTCTCTCTCCTGCCACCCTGTAATATATGCCTTGCTTCCCCTTCATCTTCCATCAGATCATGAGGTTCCTGAGGCCTCCTAGCCATGCTTCCTGTGCAGCCTATGGAACTGTGAGTAAAGTCAACTTCTTTTCTTTATAAATTACCCAGTCACAGGTAGTTCTTTATAACAATGTGGAAAAGGACTAATAGAAAGAAGTAGTATATGAAAGTCAGCATTATATTTAGTGCAGGGATATTGAGCTGTAACACTGCATCATTTAGGCTCTCTTTTTTGAGAGAAATGTGTCACTCCTAAGTGCCAAGAAATCTAGAGCTTTCCTCTGATAATTGACATATTTCCTTTTGAAGATAATGTGAACTGGGCAATAAATCATATTTTATTTTTTTGCTTTGTCCACCACAAAGTGATATTTAAAACTTGCAACTCTTTTTATAAAAATAGCTTCACACCCTATTGACCTGCACAAATCTGGCCCAGCTTTCACTCAGTTTTTGGATTTCACTTGAATTCTTATTTTTTATTTTATTGTAGGTATTTTTAAAAGTATCCTTATTTTTTTAATGGAGCAGTATAAAATAAACAAACAGAATTTAAAATACAGAGGGTAGAAAAAAGAATAAATGCAGCAATTGAGGCAGTCATTCAAGGTCAGAAAATTGAAAATAAGGAGTTAAAATAGGCAGGCAATGGAAAATCCACAAACAGGCAATGACTGAAGGTCTAAGTTGGCATTCAAGCAGTCAGCCTGAGGATATCTGTCATCTGACTTCTAAAAGATTGGAGTATGGGGAAAATTACCAAAATAAGCACTTAATGCAGCTTATACCCAGGCTTAACAGCTAGCACATAAACTAAGGAAAAATCTAGGTGAGAAATCCAGCCATTCTTGATAACTCTCTTACCCTTAGCCCCCTGTCTTTAGGGCATCAGGTCTAGCTCATCCAGTCTGGAAGACCTATTTAATAGTAGTTTATTTATATCCATCTCCCAAAGGCAGAGGTCTCTTCAGGAATACCACAGTGGCCTCATCTTTGGTCTTTCTCCTTCTCTTGTCTTGCCTAATGAAATTATCACATTTTAGCCAGAGTTATCTTTTAAAAATAATTGGCATAAATATGTCTCTACTATGCTTATATCCCTAAAGTGCTTTCTAATTTCCAATAGCATGTTATCTCTGGGGGCTGATTTGACTTCTCACCTGCTTCATATTTTTGGAATGGGTCCTTTTACTTCCTGCCTTAGGGTTATTTCATATAGTGCCATTTTTTTGGGAGGGGGCGCTAGATTCCTGTCTTCCTTCTATCCCTATGCCTAGTGATTCTCTCTCATTATTTGCATCCCATCTCACATGGCACTGCCTTAGTGATGAATTCTGCCCTGACCTCTCAAGCTAGGGCAAGAGCCGTAGCTATAAGCTTTCAGAACACGCTGTACTTACGCTTGTCTTAGTGTTGTCTGTACCTCTAGCACCTAGCAGTTTCTGGCACACAGTCATTCCTCTGTAAACTGCTATTTAATAAAGAAATAAGTGACCAACAGCAAGGGTTATTTCACAGTAATTTTCATAAAGTTGAACCAAACATGTTAAATTCTTTCTAGCTAAGGTCAGAAAGGGCACTGGTGACAGAGTCATAGCTGAACAGGTTAGATATATTTTCAAGATTTCAGAGTTAAAAGGAGATGAGATCAATTGCTTCTGTAGCCACAATGAGACTGCAATCAGTTAATGGATGCCAGAGTTGGGAACTCTATGATTCTGGATGATAAGGTCAACATGTCATCCTAATAGCATCCCAGCTAAGAGCACTTGCATAGTTGATGCTTTAATACAGTGTGAAAGTATAGAATCCTCCTGAAACCTTATACCACTGAAAAATTGTCAAGTTATTCTTGAGTGATCTTTGAATCAGAATTCAAAGAAAAAGAAAGATTTTGGTCATTGAAGATATGAAGCAATCTTATGATCACCATATTGTCTTCATGCTCATTATTTTATGTGGGAGTTAATCTATGTTGGGGCAGAAAATAGTGTGAAAAGATGAATATTTAAATGCCATTATAGGTGTATATATTGTATTTATTTATTTGGTGTATTTTGTACTAATTTCATTAAATACGTTCAGGATTTCATTCTTTGGCTCAATGATTGATGCTACCTGCTGATTTTAAGAAATATTATCACATGTTAGTGAAATTGTTTTATTACAAAAATCGGAGAAGCCCATATAGAAAACTCAGAAACTTCAAAACACTAAAAATTACTCCAGTCATCCAAAAACCACTTGAGTTACTTTTCTGGCATCTTGCCATGTGTTTTCGAAAGGAAAACTCTTAACTTGAAAATATAACCTCAGAAAAAACAAAGAATACACAATCGAATGTAAGAGATAAGGGAGCTCAGGAAAAGGACCTGAGGCTGTGAACTCACTGCTGCTTGGCAGAAGCTGTGAATCAATCATACAGCTTGCAGGAGAGATGATTTTGTGATATAAAAATGAAAGACATTGGTTTAGTTAATTTGCATGAACTGTATATTTTCAATTAAACGTGGAACTATTTCATTTATTTATTTATTTTTTGAGATGAGTCTCACTGTGTTGCCCAGCCTAGAGTGCAGTGGCATGATCTAGACTTACTGCAACCTCTGCCTCCCGGGTTCAAGCAATTCTCCTGCCTCAGCCTCCTGTGTACCTGGCGCGTGCAACCACGCCCAGCTAATTTGTTGTATTTTTAGTAGAGATGGGGTTTCACGGTGTTAGCCAGGATGGTCTCGATCTCCTGAACTTGTGATCTGCCCACCTTGGCCTCCAAAAGTGCTGAGATTACAGGCATGAGCCACCGTGCCCGGCCTAAATATTGAACTATTTCACTACTACATGGCCATGGCCACTACAGTAACTATTCATTGATTTTTTTTTTTTTTTTTTTTTACATTTTACACAGAAGTCTTCCATCATAGAGACAAAATCTTAGTATGAATAGCACTGCATTTTGAATTGCTAATTTTCTTATAATAAAGTTCTCATTTTTAAAGTATTCTACATTATATGTAATCTATTTGTTTCTTTTCCTATTTTATTTATTTATTTATTTGGAGACAAGGTTGTACTCTGTCACCCAGGCTGGAGTGCAGTGGCACAATCACAGGTCCCTGCACCTCAAACTCCTGGGTTCCAGCAATTCTCCCCCCTCAGCCTCCCAAGTAGCTGGGATTACAGGTGTATGCCACCATGCCCAGCCTATTCTTTCTATTTTCAGTATTAAAACTTGAGACTGATTCCAACAACCTTAAGATTCTGCCCTGACCCATTAATAAGAATAAGAGAAATGGACATTGGTCACCATTTTACCTGATAAAAAACTGTTTATGCTTTTATTGATTAGTGGATAGTTACATAATTAGAATGCAAGAAAATGAGTGTTATAATTTCTTTCTTATTCATTGATAGTTTTTATTTTGTTCTGCTTTTACTGTCCTGAACATTCTATGTAATCAATGAGGCAAATTTCATAGATTTCCAATATCGCATACATATTTTAATACATTCTTAGAAATTTGGAATTCCTACAATTTATGTCACTGGAGTCAGAAATGTAATAAACTTACATGCTACAATATGTTTGTACTGATAATTTTGACCCATTTCTTTCTGAAATGAATAAGTTTCTATCCTGCCTTAGCAAGTAGGTGATTCTGAATATAACTTATACTTCTTTTTTATGATTGTGAGGCTTTTCCTCTTTTCCAAAGAGGAGATTATATATATATATATATATATATATATATATATATATATATATATATATATATATATTCCAAAAAGTATTCTATGCCACATCCTTTGAGGTTCAGTGCTATAATTATTTTCTCTATTGGTAGCAATGGCAATTTATCTTCACCCCTTTATTTCTAAATATGCTTATATCTTCCTCTTTCTAAACTAATCCTTTGGTTAGAGCCTCCACTTTTCTATAAATGTTGTTCAAGTTCTGCCTTCTTTGTTAAATGTCAAACATCCAACATTTATCTCCCTACAGGCTTCATGTCTCCCCCAAACAATTCAGAGAACCTTTTCTTGGTCTTCTTCATTTTTATCTGCTCTGCCTCCTCTTATGTTGAATTTTGAATGTCAGTAATAGAAACCAAAAATAGATATTTTTATACAATATTGTACAGTTTGTGCTACACAATAGCACAAACCCCAAATCACAGTATTTTATAAAACTTATTATAATCATAAAATGAACAAAGCTATTATTGAATTAATCTATATGCTCCTACTGATAGCAATTTTAAAACAAGTTCACGAAAGGTAGAGTACAAGGACTTACACACCTTAGATATGTCAAAAATTTCATAAAGGGACTTTTTATTGTTTGAAGCTTCATTGTAATTCTGTTTTATAATATTAAAATAAATTTTAAACAGAGGTAATGTAAATTTACATGGACCTTTCTCTCTCTTTCATTTAGCCATGAATATAATTATTGCACTCACTAATTGATGAGATGTCATGTCTGATGCTAAATTTTCTTATCACTCTATCCTTAATAATTCTGATTGAGAAGAGAATGTTTAGTAGTCTATTAATTTGCTATTCAGTTATTTGGACACTGAACAATGTAACCATTTAATAAAGTTTATGTTCCAATTTGATTATGACTTTGCCTTATACAGAGTATCCCAAAGGATAGGTATTCTGAAGTAGTGCTATAGGAAGAATAATAGTATTATTGATAGAAAACAGAAAGTTGAGATAGAAGGCTTTTTTAAGTTCTAGCTGTAAAAAATTTAGGACTATGGTGAGATATTCAGTGTCAATATTCTCGAAAAGGTTGGAGATATGTAACAAAAACGTATAAAAGAAGGCAGAGATAAATATATTTTAGCATTATCAGTATACAGCCATTACTGAGGATCAAAACAAGAGAAGAAATATAGAGAAAGAGCATCATTTTTTCTTTTTTTCTTTTTTTTTTTTTTTCATTTTGAGACAGAGTCTCACTCTTTTGCCCAAGCTGGAGTGCAGTGGCATGATCTCAGCTCACTGCAAGCTCCACCTTCCGGATTCGTGCCATTCTCCTGCCTCAGCCTCCCGAGTAGCTGGGACTACAGGCTACAGGCACCCGCCACCACACCCGGCTAATTTCTTTCTTTTTTTTTTTTTTTTGTATTTTTTAGTAGAGACGGGGATCATTTTTTCTTTGAGCTTCAAGAAATATCCATATTTGGAGGGTTAGTGCAGAGAGAATGCAAAGGGACAGACAGATAATGACTAGTCAGGTGAAAGGAAGTTTAAGAATATGAAATTTTAGACCAAAAAAGGATCATATTTAAGAATAAAGAGTTGGTTAGAGGTAATGAATTCTGTAGCAAAATTTACAGGAACTAAAGCCTAAAAGTGCACATTTGATTACTCCATAGAAAGTCCAAGTTATATTTAAAGTATACGTTCATATGGTTGTGGGTGAATAGCCAGATTGAGAAGATTAAGAAGAAGAGGTTATAAAATAAAAAGTAATTGGCACAGAACACTAAATTGAGAATTTTGCGGAAAAAAGTTCATATTTTTGCCTTTGAATGCTGTATCACTCTGTCACCCAGGCTGGAGTGCAGTGGCGCAATCTCGGCTCACTGCAACCTCCGCCTCCGGGGTTCAAACGATTCTCCTGCCTCAGCCTCCCGAGTGCCTGGAATTACAGGCACCCACCACCACGCCCGGCTAATTTTTGTACTTTTAGTAGAGATGGGGTTTCACCATGTTGGCCAGGCTACTCTCGAACTCCTGACCTCAGATGATCCACCTGCCTCGGCCTCCCAAAGTGCTGGGATTACAGGCGTGAGCCACTGCGCCTGGTCTTTGTGTCTTTCTTTTCCTATCTTTCTTTTCTGATATTTTAAGTCAGTATATCTGACTAGGGAACTGGGTTGACATTACCTGTGTCCTGACAGCAATGGAAGCTGGAATCATAAAGCTGGAGTTCCTTCTGACACATGAAGTATGTTCAAGAGATGATTGAGAGCTAAAACAGGACAAAAAAAAAAAAAGTCCACCATTACATTTTATGGATCATTTCTGTTTTGAAGGAGTATAGAGCCTATTTTGAGGAATAGTGTAAAATTGTAAAAATACAGTCAACTAGTTAAGGAGAGTCTTAAGGGTCAGACTAATGAATTGAGACTGCTTGGCAAAAGAGTGCTTTCATGGAAGCAAACAAAGTAATATTGCATTCTTTCCAGAAGATTAATTTGGCTACAATATATGGAAGATAAATAACAATGGGATCAATTAAACTAGTTCAGAAGTATTTGCAATATCGAAGTCAAGATACATCATGAATCCTGCCTCTTCGGTCCTCGTGGCAGTAGGATTGAGAAGAGGTGGGGAACAGGACCATGATATATATACTGTGCAAGTAGACAACTGATGTGAGACCATGTGAAAAATACCATAGTTTGGTTGACTATGTTAAGTACCTGAGAAGAAAGGAGGGCAAGGGGAATTCGATTTTTGACTTGATAGAATTTACTGTGGAATATTCAACATTCGAGTAAACATCAGTTTTGGGGAACAGACATTGGCAGGGAAGAAGAGAGTAGTAAGGCAAGCTTTTAAAAATATAAATGTTAGTATTGAAATTCAGAAGAGACACTTTTTTCTCTGAAACTAAATGATAGAACAAGAGCTATATGTGAAAAAAGTAATCTACTGTGAGTTTGGGAGAAATTTATCTGAGGAAGTTCACACTGGAAATTATTAAACAATGTATAAATTGGAGATTTCAAAAGAATATGTAAATATTGATATTGCTTTCTTGGGAGTGTGCAAAAAAATGAAAAAAAAGTATGTGAATTAAATAATGTTTTGCAATAGTGAGTTCCCAGTAAAAGATTAGTATCATGATTGTTTTTAGGGGAATTTGGCTTTATGCATTTAAGTCTTTATTCCCCAAGAATTCATGGTCTAGCCTGGCCCGGAAACAGGGAAAGGGAAATAAAACTCTGGAGAAATCTGAAATTGCGATAGATGCCGTGGTGGAAACCAAGTTTTTGATGAGTCCATTCTAATCAGAGGTTCAAGATCTGTGTGAACTGGCAGGATTGAGGAATAGGAGTTGATACTGGGAATAAGAGCAAGTTTAGTGAACTTGAAAGGAAGAAAATGTAAAAGGTGTATCATAATGCAGAGAAAGTACCTAATTCAGGAGTTCTATGTCATGTCCGTGCAGATTGGATTACGATATAGATCTTGAAGAACATAACAGATGTCAAGGAAAGGCGTTATTAGGTAGAAGATGACTGGCAGTAGGAAAAATAGAATTGAAATGATAATGAGGAATACTAAAAAAGAAAACAAATAATCCAGGTATTCATTTTTTGTCAACCAAAGGGGTCACATTTTGGAGGAATTTTGGTGTTTAGTAGGTGAGAAGGTTTATAAAACCTCTAGAAGGATCATCATAATCTCACTTGAATTTGAGGCCTCAGAGGGAAAACTGAGCTTGCAAAGCTGCAAGCACACAAATTTACAAGGAGTATTATAGGCTTAAATAGGATGAAATAGACAGGGTGAATGTTAATAAATTATTGTTTTGTGGTTTAGAAATCTACCTTTTTCCTCCCTCTCCTCATCTGCTTTAGCAATATGTCTCCTAAATGATGTTGGAGCCAACGGGGATATTAGTTTTAAAATCATTCTTTTACATTCCATGTTCTTTTGCTCTAAAATGTCTATGTGTAAAATCAGGCCAACTTGTACATATCTGTTGAATTAGCGTATATTCTTAAATTTTAAATGCAAGACATTTATATGATCTTCATTCAACAATGGCTGTTTTTCTGTTTGATATGCCTTCCCCATTCTGCCTCTCTTCCATTCTAAATATTGATATCAACAATGTTGAAATTGTAGATAAAATTAATGAAAGCTATTTTCTCCATTCCTTTCTAATTCTTCCACCAAATACATATGATGTCTCCCTCTCTTGATCTTGGCTAGCATTTATCAATAATTTTTATACTTAACATATGTTTTATTTCTTATCATTGCTATATCCCGATTGTTGTGCACTTTTCTTCTTTGCATACTAAATTGTAAATTGACTCCTCTTTGTATTCCCTGTAGTGCTTAGCATGCAGTTTTATAGAAAATAAACACCCGTATTTGTTTGAAGATTTGCTATTATAGTGACTCTAGTTTTTCATTTGATCCTGTCTTCTTTTTGTTTATTCAACTATGTCATCTTTCAGATTATATTTTGTATTCTGCAATGTATTAACATAGTGTCATCCATTTTCTTTATATGTCTTCATAGCTTTGGGAATAAGGTTTTACATACACAAAAGATAGTTTTTGTCTATAGTTATATTAACTCACTGATTAATTTACCTTTGAATTTTTCTACTGCTTGTAATATTTGATAAAAAGAATTGCAGTAAAAATTATAGTAATTGTAGTTAGCTTCAAATTGTAGTTAGCTTCAAATTGTAGTTAGCTTCAAAGAACCTGAAATAACAGTCTCTTAAATGATCTCAAAGACCTACCTGTCTCCTCTAACAAAGAGAAATATTGTATAAATCATGAACATCTAAAATTAGCTCATAAAATGTTTTTAAAAAAGAATATGTTCTTAGATGTCATTTTAGATAAACAATTTTAATATAATAAAATTTTAAAATGACTGAAGTATCTATTACAATAAAGTAAATAGTGGTCCTATAATAAAGTGCTTAATGGAATATATTGCAACAGAAATATTTCTGGAAGAAGTATTTAATAGTAATTTATTTCATAATAGCATAATCTTGGCAAAATTTCTTATTATAAATGCCAAGATATATAAACAGAAGTGTTAATATTCATTTGAAATTATTAAAGCAAAACAAACACATTTGATATTATACTAAAATGTTATCTATGCTGTGTCAATGTAAACATTGAGCTATTTGTTCATGTGATATTAGACTAATTTTTGTGTATGTAGTTTATTTATCCACATGCTTTTACACCTAATCAGGCTGCAGGTGCAATAGCAAAACATTAGTGAAAAAATAACGTCAGAACAACAGTTCTTGCTTATATTTGTAAACAAAATATGAAACCCCAAACTCTGAAACTGGTACTGTTATTTCCGTTTTTCAAATGAGAATAATTAAGGGCCCCTCAGTGAGGTGTGTCACAATTCGGGTTCACAGGAAGAGAACTCTGAGACAAAATTTACAGTGCAACACAGTTATTAGTAAGTGCCTTGGAACTGGCCTCTGTGGAAGAAAAAGGAATGAAGTAAGATTAGGCAGAGGTGGCTCACGCCTGTAATCCCAGCACTTTGTGAGGCCGAAGCGGGCAGATCACGAGGTCAGGAGATCGAGACCATCCTGGCTAACAGGATGAAACCCCGTCTCTACCAAAAATACAAAAAATTAGCCGGGCAAAATGGCGGGCGCCTGTAGTCCCAGCTACTCAGGAGGCTGAGGCAGGAGAATGGCGTGATCCTGGGAGGCGGAGCTTGCAGTGAGCCGAGATTGCGCCACTGCACTCCAGCCTGGGTGACAGAGCGAGACTCCGTGCCAAAAAAAAAAAAAAAGACTAGGCAGAGGGAGAGCTCCAGTTTTAAGGCTGGACAATTTTAGGAGACATATCAGGGAACTTCAGAGCTAAAGTGGACCTGTAAGAACTGTCCCAGGATGAGCAGAAATGAAAACACTTACAGTCGTTGGATGTACCCGCAGGAAGAGTGTGAATTGGGAGAAATTCTTCAGCTCAAACAACCCCTTAAGGGCTAACAGCTGTAGGCTTCTGCCAATAGCACTTTCAACAGCTGGAGCATCACGTTTTTCCTTGAAGGAGGATCTACACTGAGTGTCTCTCTGTTCATCACAAGGTTGCTGGACCAAGACCAGATATGTTTATTACTCAAGTCTCGTTTTTATTGTTTTGTTTTGTTTCGTATTGTTTTACCACTATGCTCCAAATCCCTTCTCTTCCTCTCCTTTGTAGATCCTGAAACTCACCCAGTAAATTGAAAGCCTCTAGCCTCAGTCCATGGCTCCTTTTGGCAGTACCATAGCTTCTTTTTCACTGTCCTCCACTGAGCATGCCTCAGGACTATACAAAGACAATGATCCCCACATTTACGAAGCCACTCTACTGAGCTGTACTTTGAAGATTTGTACTTTCAGTTTGAGAATACTTTAGCTATATTTATCTGTTGATTTATTCAAGTAAATTAACTATTATTCGCCAGCAAATTGCAAACCCCAGTTTGGGAATAGAATGAAGCGGAGAGTGGAATGGTCCTGATTCACAGAGGTTTTTCATTTCATTGGTTCTTTAGATTGATCACAACACTCGTTCTTTAGATTGATCACAACTCCCTTGTTTCTGGGAATGATCGGACCACAGATTTTGTCACTACCCACTTCTACCCTCAAAATTATTCCTTCTTACGGGCGTCCACCAAAGTCTAAAGCCTAGGAACCTGTACCAGGAATTTTCTGCCTCAAATGAAATTTCTTTCTCAACCTATTTGTGCTATGGTGGTTAAGGATCTTTTTTCCTGAATTTTTGATGATGTGCTCCAACACACCACTCTTTCCCATGGGACTCACTGGTGTTTATGTAAATGAAATTTTGGTTGATCAAGGTGCCCACCAAATGTGGACTTGCCCAGATTTCTGGTGTGTTTTATTCTTAGGAACCCATTCTGGGACCACAGATACCTGGATATGAAGAAATGAATTGATAGAATATTAGAATAATTGCAAGATAAACATTCCTGCTGTGGTGGCAATTGGCTGTTGACACTGAAATTTTTAATTGCATTTTTAGAATTTCAAAATTGGTAAAAATGTGTTGCACACGTGATGCTAGGAGAAGCGGGCCTTGCTGTTATTCACTGTTTCAATCTTTATACTTGTAGGAGTAGCTCTGTTATACAATTTTGGCCAGTGTCTGCTGAGAAATTTCTGGAAAATCTTTCTCTCCCCTGATAACATATCCAGATATCGGAGATACAGACCCCTCCTCTTAATTCTTCCCTTAAATGCTGACATGATGCCTTGAGCTGAGGTAGCCATCTTGTGACCAAGAGAAGAAAGCTAAATTAATTTCAGAGACTCTGATCCTGATATTGTTATATAAGCTGTGAAACCAACACCAGCAGATCGCTACCTTCAGTCCTCTTGTTATCGGGGAAAACTAAACTGAGTTATAGCCACTGTTGGACTGGTATTCTGTTACATTATGATTAAAATATGCCTGTTATAAACAATGGTGTGTAAATTTAAAATGGCATGTTATAAATTTATAAGGAGACACTTAACTATCAAATCAAAACACTTATTTCAACATAATGAGTTCCTTCTATTTTTATATATGGGAAAATCAGATTGTAAACTGCTTGGTGAGTATGGATTTCAAATAAATGGATTTCATTAGTTAAAGAAAGAAAAGTCTAATGGCAACAGATTCAGATCCACCATTTCCACAGTAGGAATAGCTTTGCCTATGGAGTAAAACACTCCAAATCTATTGGATAGGAATATGTTTACTCTGAACTGTGCTAGGATGAGCCCTGAGTAGTTTTCCTAAACTACTTTTTCTTGACTCTTTTTCTAAATTGGTTCCAGGACTTACTAGTTGTATAATCATGGGCAAGTTCATTTTCCTGTATGTCCTACTTTTAATATGTTAATAAGCATATTTTTGAAATAGGATTTGTTTGATTATTCAGTGAAAAATATTTGAAAAGTTCAAATATTGCCTGGAATGTAGTAAGTGCTCAATGATTTTAGATTTATTTTATGACTAGCTAATTCTTCTTAAAAACATGTGTTTTCCCTACCTATCTTAGTATATTCAGCCAAGATAGAATGAGGTCTTGTGACCTCAGATCCATTTTGATTTTTTAAGGTGGTTTGCATATTTTTGCTCTGATTAATTATGCATTGTTATAATTAAAATTTAATTTAGGAAGGAATCTTTTTTCGACACAACTGTCTCTCAATTTAAAATGTAGATAATTTATGTGTTTTTGAGAAAAACAGAGAGAAAGAATACTATTCACATACATATATAAATATATATTCCCTCTTAAATTTTGATACGATCCAGTATAAACAGTCATGGGGTTGAGAATCAGGGGCTTGTATTCAGGGTAGTTTAAAAGTTCTTCTGAGTATCAAAGACATTATTTTTATTTCATTTATTTATTTATTTAGAGACAGAGTCTCACTGTGTTCCCTGGGCTAGAGTGCAGTAGTGCAATTTTGACTCACTGCAACCTCACCCTGCTGGCCTCAAGTGATCCTATCACCTCAGCCTCCCAAGTGGCTGGGACCACAGGTGTGTGCCACCATGCCCTGCTAATTTTTGTATGTTTTATACAGATAGGGTTTCACCATGTTGCCCACACTGGTTTCAAACTCCTGAGCTCAAGTGATCCACCCACCTCAGGCTTCCGCAGTGCTAGGATTACAGGTGTGAGTCACTGCACCCCATTTCAACGAAATTATTGAAACTCACTATCCATAATAGCCTCTTGCAAAGTGCTTCCTACCCAACATTATTTCCTTGTCAATTACTACGCAGGTTTTCTGAGATTACACTCTTAACTCATGAGGTTTCTGAGCACTTTGAAAACCTCCCACAAAACTTTTAAATAAAATTATGATACAATTTAAAAATTTGAGGAGGCCTCCAGATGAAAAATCCTGGGAAAAGATATCACATATTGAGCCAAAATAGTTTTCCCCTGCATTATTAAAAAAATTTTTAAAAGTTGATCAACTTCTTGCTTCAAATTAATGAGCACTCATTCAGAACAATAGGACACAATCTGTCAAGATTAAATAAACAACTAAACTGTAACCTCACTGAATAGAGCAAGGGTTTCATATTTTAAAATCTAAACTCTTAATTGAAGTTAGAGAATTATATAGAGACTGCTGATGGCTAATGCTATCTGAATCTTTATTGATATTAAGGGTGATTTTATTTCATTTAGTTGTGATGTTTATATTCACCATTTCCAATAAAAAGGCTATTTACACTTCATATTCATGGAAATAACAAGAATGAGGCAAAATATTTTTTTCTTTCCAATACACTAGATTTTAAAATAATTTTGTTTTAACCACCTTAAAATCCTCTACCATTTTCAATAAAACCAACCATTCTACTGAAAGATGGGGTCACTTTACAATTTGGGGGGAAATGTTTCAGTGTAATGTAAGCATTTCTGATAACTCCATTGTTTTAAATTTAAAGATCCTGTTGAGTCCATTTGTAGACTGCTCATCAGTTATTAATATCTTTGGCGAAAGATATATGAGCATGTATAAAGGTGGTTATAATAATTATGACAGTGTTTGATGCAACAACAAAATAGCTATCAATGTTTTAACACTATGATTCAGAAAATATACTAAATAATTAACATATAATTCTCTATTATTTGGCCAACAAATGAAGTAATTTCATTATTTAAATTATCTAGATAAAATTGAAGCTTTGGGGGGTTAAGTTATGGGGTGAAATTTCATCAGAAACTAATTTAAACTCAGATATTTTTGACTTCAAAATCTGTGTTTTTAACCAACAATAATTTATAGTATTTATTTATATATATGCAAAATGAATAAACAATTGTATTAGTCCATTCTCACGCTGCTATAATGACACACCCAAGACTGGGTAATTTATAAAGGAAAGAGGTTTGACACACAGTTCAGCATGACTGGCAGGTCTCAGGAAACTTACAATCATGGCAGAAGGGGAAGCAAATATGTCTTTCTACACGTTGTGGCAGCAAGCAGAAGTGAGAGTGAAGGGGGTGAAAAGCATCTTATAAAATCACCAGATCTCATGAGAACTCAGTCACTATAATGAGAACAGCAGGGAGGTAACCAACCCCATGATTCAATTACCTCCCACTGGGTCCCTTCCATGACATGTGGGGTCCCTCTCGTGACATCTACAGTTCAATATGAAATTTGGGTGGGAACACAGCAAAACCATATCAACAATTATACATTTTCATGTTAATTATATAAGTAGCTAATGATAAAAATTGAAAGTATAATTAGGTGTACTGGTTCTATTAGCCAATTTCATATTATTGAAACAAATATATTTTAGAGTCATCATACTTTCTAGAATTAAATATATTTTTCTCACACAGTTTCCTTCTCAATTTTTCCCTACTTCCATTCAAGTTGTTCAAGACAACCTCAATATTAATAGTGCAAAGTGCTTTCAAATTTTCTCTTATCTTCTTCAACATTGAGAAATAAATTTTATAATCCCCATTTTACAGATGAACATCTGCTTTCCAGAATTTAGTTGTATATCCAAGTGAAAACTTCATCATAACTTACTATGATAGAAATGATAGAGATTTTAGAATTCAGGAGTCTGACTTTAAATGAAATTTAGTAAAACAAGAACTGCTTTTTAAGTTACCACAGATGATATTACTGAAGGTTTTGCTAGTGCAAAATGTGTATCTTTATTTCCCCAGCCTCTTTTAGCAGCTTCCTAACTACTTGTCATTGATTTGCTAAACAAATTGCTGGTTTTTACTATTGGTGAAAACGGTCCCATTTCATTTTCTAATCCAATATCTGTGCTTCTCAACAAAGCGCAATATCTATGTTGCTCAATAAAGCCCAAATACCAGTGGCTTAATATTTGAAATGTTTATTTCTCATTGAGGCAACATTTGATGCCTGCCAGGTGTCTCTGTTTGGTGTCTTTCTTCTCAGCACTGACTCTAGGATTTAAGCTATTTCCATCTTTCTTCTTCCATGCCTTCAGGAGAAAATGGTTGTCAAAGTCAACATGACAGGCGAGAGGGTTCATAGGCTCAGTAGGGAGTTTTAAATGGCTAGAGAAGTAAATTTTTTAATATTTTTTTCTGTCTACCTTACAGATGACCAACATAATTACAAGGGTAACTAGAAGAGCACATGGAAATAGTCTCTGTCACAGCCTTTTATTAAAAGATCTTACTAACTTTCAAAATCAGATAAAACCCATAAAAGAACAGTACTATCAAGATAATAGAAATAATTTTTAAATTAATTTTATTTTTAATTGACAGATTATAATTGTATATATTTTGGGGGTACAAGGTGATGTTTTGCTATATGTGTACAATGATTAAATGATTAAATCAAACAAATTCACATATCTAGCACTTCATTTACATACCATTTGTTGTAGTTAGACATTTGAAATTTACTCTTATAAATTTTGAAATATAAAATACATTATTATTAACTATGATCACCCTGCTGTGCAATAGATTTCAAAAATTTATTTCTCCCAGCTGCAACTTTATACTCTTTGACCAACATTTCCGCATTCCTTCCTCCATCCTTCAGCCTCTGGTAACTACCATCCTACCCTCTACTTCTATGAGTTTGACTTTTTGGGTTCTACATATAAGTGAGATCATGTAGTATTGTTTTTTTGTTTTGTTTTGTTTTTTACAAGTATTAGCTATTTTTATTGTACTAATTTTGAAGTTTCTTTTTTTTAATTATACTTTAAGTTTTAGGGTACATGTGCACAACATGCAGGTTAGTTACATATGTATACATGTGCCATTTTGGTGTGCTGCACCCAGTAACTCGTCATTTAACATTAGGTATATCTCCCAATGCTATCCCTCCCCCCTCCCCCCACCCACAACAGGTCCCAGTGTGTGATGTTCCCCTTCCTGTGTCCATGTGTTCTCATTGTTCAATTCCCACCTATGAGTGAGAACATGCGGTGTTTGGTTTTTTGTCCTTGCGATAGTTTACTGAGAATGATGGTTTCCTGCTTCATCCATGTCCCTACAAAGGACATGAACTCATCATTTTTTATGACTGCATAGTATTCCATGGTGTATAAACTAGTTCAACCATTGTGGAAGTCAGTGTGGTGATTCCTCAGGGATCTAGAACTGGAAATACCACTTGACCCAGCCATCCCAGTACTGGGTATATACCCAAAGGATTATAAATCATGCTGCTATAAAGACACATGCACACGTATGTTTACTGCGGCACTATTCACAATAGCAAAGACTTGGAACCAACCCAAATGCCCAACAATGGTAGACTGGATTAAGAAAATGTGGCACGTATTTGTCTTTCTATGCTTGGCTTATTTCACTTACATTAATGTCCACCAGGTTCATCTACGTTGCCTCAAATGACAGAATTTCCTTCTTTTTTAAGGCTGAAGAGCATTCCATTGTGTATAAAACATTTTCTTTTTCCATTCATCCATTGATGAAAACTAAGGTTGATTTAATTACTTGGCTATTTTGACTAGTGCTGCAATGAACATGAGCATCGTGATTTGGCACAGTCATTTCAATTTTATTTTTGGATATATAACCAGAAATGAGATTACCCGATTATATGTAATTCTATTTTTAGAATTTTTGAGAAATCTGCATGCCATTTTCTGTAGTGGCTATATTAATATACATTTTCATCAATAGTGTACAATAGTTTTCTCCA
This sequence comes from Homo sapiens, assembly GCF_000001405.40. Taxonomy (NCBI): domain Eukaryota; kingdom Metazoa; phylum Chordata; class Mammalia; order Primates; family Hominidae; genus Homo; species Homo sapiens. Next base: position 165,361,935 of record NC_000003.12, read on the forward strand.
TATCCTTGCCAATACTTATATTTCATCTTTTTGATAATGGCTACTCTATAACAGCTATGAGGTGATAGACCACTGTGTTTTTAATTTGCATTTCCTTGATGATTAGTGATGTTGAACATTTTTTCATGAGCCTGTTGGCTATTTGTACATCTTCTTTTGATTAATGTCTGCTCAGGTTCATTGCCCATCTTTAAGTGGGTTGTTTGTTTTCTGGCTATTGAGTTGTTTGAATTCTTTATATATTTTGGATATGAATCCCTTATCAGATGTGTGATAGGCAAATATTTTTGCCCATTCTGTGGGCTGTCTCTTCAGTCTGTTGTTTTCTTTACCATGCAGGAGCTTTTTAATTTGACGCCATCCTATTTGTGTATTTTTACTTTCACTGCCTGAGCTTTTGGGGTCATATCAAAAAATTTATTGCCGAGACCAATGTTATGGAGCTTTTTCTCTATTATTTTCTAATAATATTATGATTTCAGGTCTTATTTTAAGTCTTTAATCCATTTTGAGTTTACTTTTTTGTGTATGGTATGATGCAAGGATTCAATTTCATTCCTTTCATGTGTATACCAGTTTTCTGGACACCACTTATTGAAGAGACTGACCTTTCCCTATTGTATGTTCTTGGCTCCTTTGTCAAAAGTCAACTGATTGTAAAAGTGTGGGTTTAATTCTGGGCTTCTCATCCTGTTCCATTGGCTAATACATCTTTTTTTTTTTAATGCCAGTGCTATAGTGTTTTGATTACAATATAATTATGATATATTTTTAAATCAGAGTGTATAATGCCTCCAGTCTTGTTCTTTTTGTTCAAGATTGCTTTGATTAGTCAGTATTTTTTGTGGTTTTATAAGCATTTTAAGATTGATGTTTCTAGTTCAGTCCAAGATGTTATTGAAATTTTGATAAAGGGTATATTGAATCTGCAGATTGCTTTGCGTAGTAGGTACTTTTAACAATATTAATTCTTCTAATCCTTGAAAACGGGCTATCTCTTCCTTTATTTGTGTTTTCTTTAATTTCTTTTACAACGTTTTATGGTTTTCAGTATATAAAACAATTTTATACTGGAAAATTTGAGACCTATTCCATGACACTTTACTAAGTATGTCAAAGTACAATAATAATTTTGCCCATTTATGCTACTAAGCAGCTGCAGTCACAAGATTAACCCTTATTAAACTGGCTTTATAAAATCATGATTTTATGCCCAGAAGAGAGAGGTCAAGGTAATGTAGTAAAACAAGCATTAGAAAGTTGTGGGATCTGGGTGATAAGTCCAGATGTAGCTGTGATCTAACCTGACGTATCTTATAACATTTCTATACCTCACTGTCTTCATGTTTGAAGTGAGAAGAGCAGCTGATGCATTGTGTTGCGTTATCTCCAGAATTCTACGGAATTCCAGAGGGAAGGACAGCAATGCTCAAAGGCATAATAAACTCTGGTGCTAGAACTTCTTGGTTTTGATCCTCACTTAACATTTATTACCAATGTGAATTAAGAAAACCTCTCATGTATCTCAGTTTTCTTATCCACAAAGTGTTCCTGCACACATTTCTTGAGAGGATTAAGTTATTTAATACATGGGAATCATAATGCCTAGAACATAATATTTAATAATTTTGGCTATTTTTTTCATCTGCAATAACCTCTGAAAGGAAACTTGGTGGCTTGTCAGAAGTAAAAAAGTTATTTGGGAACAAAACAAGTAATGTAATTCTTTTTTTTTTTTTTTTTTTTGTTGAGACAAAGTCTAGCTCTGTTGCCCAGGCTAGAGTGCATGCAGTGGCACGATCTCGGCTCACTGCAACCTCCACCTCCCGGGTTCAAGCAATTCTCCTGCCTCAGCCTCCCAAGTAGCTAGGATTATAGCGTGCACCACCACACCCAGCTAACTTTACTTCTTCCTGTTTCTACTAGGCAATACTATTAATAAAAATTCTAAATATTTCCATAAAATCACTATTAAAGAAATTTTTTTTCTATACAAGATATTGAAAATGAAAACATAATCATTTCCAAGTATAGGAAAATATTTATGAGTTTCCCTGAAAAATATTTATGTACCTCTTACTGTGGAGAGAGTATATTGAGAGCTTCCCAAATTCAGGCTTTAAGAATATTATTGAATATATTTGCAGAACCAGCTACAAATTTCAGACCTAACATTATAAAAAGTTAGATTTAAAATGTGAAATACACAATCCTGTTCATGGTGACATGTAGGGCAATTACAGAGACTGTTTTGTTTTGTTTTGTTTTGTTTTTCTGGCTGCGAACACGGTCCCATTCCTTTTAATTTAAAAAAATCCTCATGTTTGAGCAGTATTTTTTTCACTTGCCTAGCTAACCGAAAACAATTGCTACTAATAACCTGTCATCTTTTAAAAATAAACATGAAGTATTTATTTTACAGAAACTAAAGGGGAAAAACACATTTATTTTAATGACAGTTGCTTATCATATTTCTCACTTGCTTCCTCATTAAATTTTCCCAGCCACCCTCAAGAGGGGATTATTATTCTCTCTGTGGTTCAGATGAGGGAACAAGGCTCACAACCTCACATCGCTTGTGCATGGCAGATCCAAGATTCATTCAACCCCAAATGTAAAATATCAGGCTTATCCTGCTGAATATCAGCATCTCCCTCACTGTTCAAAATAACTGGGGCTCCACTGACCAAAAGACGCACAATATGATAAGTATGAAACAGTGTGGAGTCTGAAGTTAGAGGACCTGGCTTTGAGGCTTAGGCCTGCTTTAACTCCCTCAAAACGGGCTGAAATTTTCTCAGAGTGATTACTATTGTTATTGTCACTGCTATTTTAAGTGGAAATATAACTTAAAACTGAATTTCTCACACACAGACAGTTGACACAATATACTTTGCTTAAGGTCATTCAGGATCTCTTAATTATTAAATTCCATAGCTTCTTTTTCATCATCAATCTGCTTAATTTTTCTGTGGCATTTGACCTTTCTTTACTTCTTAAAACTCATCTGTAGTGTCTTTTTGATGTCCCTTCTTTCCTTCTTCTCCTCTTATATACCCACCACCTACCATCCCGTTTTGGTTTCAGGCAGCATCTTCACACTCCTGGTCCACTGGAGCCTCACTTGGTACTTCTAAGGTCTTCTCTCCTGTCATATCTCTATTGCGGTCACATTCTAGTTGATTGCTTTGTCTCCTCTCTTTCAGTAGTTTTTTGTTTGTTTGTTTGTTTTGTTTTGTTTTGTTTTGTTTTAGATTGAGTCTTGTTCTGTCACCCAGGCTGGAGTGCAGTGGCGCAATCTCAGCTCACTGCAACCTCTGCCTCCGGAGTTCAAGCGATTCTCCTACCTCAGCTTCCCCAGTAGGTATTACAGGCCTGCACCACCAAGCCTGTCTAAGTTTTGTGTTTTCGGTAGGGATGAGGTTTCTCCATGTTGGCCAGGCTGGCCTTGAACTCCTGGCCTCACGTAATTTGCCCGCCTCAGCCTCCCAAAGTGCTGGGATTACAGGCATGAGACACCATGTCCAGCCCTCTTTCAGTAGTTTTAAATGACAGCCTCAGGCCAATGAAGAAACGTACACTTTCAGCTCTAACCTTTCATTTCAGTGTTAGATCTATATGTTCAACAGACTTTTCTATATCTTTAGCTTTATATTCTCCAGGCTCCAGTAATTCAAAACTAAACAATTAAATTCACTGTCTTCACTCAATTTTTCTTTCCTACTTCCCTTCTCACACTAACAGCATAATGGCCAGCAACTGATTTTCCAAACTAGAAAAACAGTAGTCATTTGTAATTTCTCTCTCTTTTTCATTTCTTAAAAGTAGGGAGTCTTCAGGTGTTATTATTCTAATTCTTACGTAGATTAGAAATCTCCCAGTTTTGTGCAATCTAGCTTCTGTTTGGGATGCTCATTGATTCTTGTCAGATCTCCCACTGTAGCCTTCTAACTGGCTCCTTCCCGTCTTCAGGCCACAAGCCTGAAGATTAATTAGATTTGTCTTAAAGTTAATTTTGATTCAGTGTTACCCACCTCTCCCCCGGAAAATACATCAAAATATTTACAAGGTCCTCCTCACAAACCTAAAAACATGATAATTAAAGAATAGGATGCTGTGGTCAGTAAGGCTTGGGTTTGATACCTGACACAACCATTTAGCAAGGGTGTGAACTTAAGTTATTTATTTCTTTGAAGCACAGGACCTCATTTGTAAAAGGGACCATAAAGAAATTGCGAGAATTGAAGAAATGTGTGAAAAACACCTATCATAGTGTTGGAGAAAACAAGGTCCTCAACAAATAATAATTAAGATTCATTCTAATACATCCCCTCTCAATTAACACAGGCATCTAAGCATTAATAAAACCTAGATTTTCAGCATTTTTAAACATGTCTAGTCTTTTCATATCTATATGTTCATACCATTTCCCCTGCCTGGAACATCCTTCTCCGCCTTGATTATTAAATAAATTCTTTCTCATCTGTAGAGATTAGATGTCACTTTTTAATGATTTTTCTGTGACATATTTAGGCAACATTTGTTTTGTTCTTATAATTCTTTGTCACTTGGGTAGGAAGTTACTCTGCCTCATCTCCTTGGCAGCTGGATTATTTTATATATTCAGTAAATATTTTCTGAATGCAGTAAAATCTTTCCACAAATGCCTACATTATAGACTTTTATCCAAATTCAAATGTAAATTCCATTTTTTTCTTATCGTCATTTCCCCAAATCCAGCTTTTTAATCTCAATTTTTCTGATATTTCAGTAATTTCTCCCTTTTATCACATTAAAAGTTTCAGAAAAATGCTGCCACAATAGAGGTTTTTTGTTGGTTTGCCTATTGTATTACTTTTACATAGAAAATGTATATTTAAATGGCAGGAAAAAGTAGAAAATGTACCATATGTGATAGAAACAAGTAAATACTTATTATATAGGGACCAAGTTATTTAATGGAAAGAATAAAGGCTTTGAAGACAATCTGCCTAGGCCTTTTCTCTTAACAGATTTCTAATTCTTTGTACATTTATTTAAACTGATATTTCAGTAACTTGAATGGGATTTGCAGTATCTATGTTGAAGGACAAGGTGAAAATTAAATGTAAAAATAAATATGTAAAGTTACTAGTGTTGTGGCTTTTTCCGTTCCTGTAGTTCAGTGGGCAGGAAGGAGTGGCGCTAAGTGGCTTCTTCGCTCCCATAGCTCAGCGAGTGAAAGTGAGTGTTATAGCTCTTTCATTCTCACCACCAGCAATTCTGTGAGCAGGAGTATTACAGCTCTTTCACTCCCATAGTTTGGTGAGTTCTGGGTTCTTGTCCCATGACCAGGAGGAATAAGGTACATGGACACCAGAGAGTGAGTAAGGCAGAGTAGAATTTTATCAAATGACAGAAAGAAAGTTCTCAGTAATGAGAGGGAATGCAAAAGTGGGCAGTCATCTGTGAGGCTGAGTTCAGGGTTATTATGGGTTTGAATGGGGGAGTGCATGCTGATTTGTCCATGTGTGGTGATATGGTTTGGCTTTGTCCCCACTCAAATCTCATCTTGAATTGTAGTTCACATAATCCTCATATGTCATGCAAAGGACTCACTTGGAGGTAATTGAATCACGGGGGTGAGTTTTCCCATGCTGTTCTTGTGATAGTGAATAAGTCTCACGAGATCCGATGGAAGCAAAATTCCCCTGCAAACGTTCTATTGCCTGCCATCATGTAAGATGTGCCTTTGCTCCTCCTTCACCTTCCATCATAATTGTGAGGCCTCCCCAGCCATGTGCAACTGTGAGTGCATTAAGCCTCTTTTTCTTTACAAATTACCCAGTCTCGGGCATATCTTTATTAGCAGCATTAGAATAGACTAATACATGTGGTCTTGGAAAAAGCACCATTTTATTGGTTAAAAGACATCATTCAGAAGAAACCAAGTGAAGGAGAGTGGATAAGATGGGGATAGAAGTTATCGCTCCAGTCTTGGACTCTATCTGGAACTGGCAGCTCAGTTTTCAGGCTTTAAACTGTCCTTGGCTTGAAGGTCAGTGTTTACCAGGACCCATCGCTGTCTGCCTAGGAATTTGTCTGTCTCCTGTCACTATCACTAGCACAGGACTTGAAAAAGAGTATGCATTCAACAATTGCCAGATCTAATATAGATGCTCAGCTCTTTTACTGAAATACTCATATTTTCTTTAGATTTATAAGAAAATCATAAAAATTCAAATAAAAGGCTAAGAGGAGAAAAATTGCAGAAGATCCATTAGTAAATAAAAGATATACCATTCATCATCTGTAAAAACTAAAAATGTAAACTAAAGTAACTTTGAGAGAGAATTTTGTAGTCATTAAGGTAGCATTTTTTTCATTTTATTTATATGACTCACTCCAGAATGATTTTGGTGAACCTAGTATACTAATTTTTTGGCTGTAGGCATTATAAATTTATATAACCTTTCCACAAAATGCAATTTATTTATATGTAACAAGATCCATAAGGATATCTATGACCTTTAGCTTGATACATTTCTACCACTTTATTCTCATAAAATAATTTGATAGAAATAGAAAACTATAAATATTTTTATTCATTGTGGTATTTTACAGAGTTGGAGTAATTTAATTGAAGCCTCCAGAATATGCAATATTAGAATGTTAATAAGTAATATTGCCATGAATTATCATTTAAGAATATTATTTGCTCATTAAAAGTAACAAGTGAATACCATATAGTACAACATTGTTCAAATAAAATATAATTTGAGCCACATATGTAATTTATACTTTTTTGGTAGTCACATAATAAAATGGAAATAAATGAGGTAAGATTAATTTTAGTAATATATTTTATTTAAGCAATACGTTGAGAATATTATTTCAACATGTAATCAATATAAATGACACCAATGAGAGATTCTTTTATTGTTTGATTTGTACTAAGTCTGTGAAATTTTGGCATAATTTACACTTATAGCACATTTCAATTTGGTTGAGTCACTTTTCCAATCTCAATATCCACATGTAGCAAGCTGCTATCATTTTGGACAGGGCAAGACTACAGACAAACATTCATAAGAAATAGAAATATTCTTAATAACATACACATAATTATTTCAATTGTTTAAAAGAATTGTTCATATATGTTTTAGTGTCCTAGAGTGTAAAATTAATTAGGAGTGTGAGATTATGATTCTTTTTATATAAGTTTAAATATTTTCATACTTTTGTTTTTTTTCAATAAAATGTCTTACACCTTAGAATAGGTACCTAATTTGTAAATTGCAACCATTCTGTCTATATGTCTTGATAAAAAATGATGGTGAACTTCAATTTATATTATATTCACATTTTGACCCAGTTTCTATGGAATTAGTAAGTCTTTTCAATTTGGAGCTGTTTGGTATGCAAAGTAGGCTGAACGTTTTCATAGGGAGTAACAAATACGTGACCTTTCTGGATTAAGTCGGTCTGGCAGCCTAATATTTTTTACGGTTTGAATAGACTATATTTGGTTGATCCTATCAGTTAGTAAAATAAGAAAGTATATTTAAAACATTATCAAAAAATATCTAGCATTTTGCCTTGCACATAGTAGACACAAAATGCATAATTGTCGAATGTAATCGATTTGAAGCGTCCATCAATTAAATTCAAAATGGATTTGTTGAAACCATTTTCTTAGTAGAATTTACTCTTTCTTCATGTATTTCACTATGATTCCTCATAATTAAAGAAAGCAATAAACAGGGATAACAAAAGTATTAGAACTTTTGACATTTCTGGAGGTAAACAAAGATACCTTCCATATTTCCACCTAAACTTAATTTTCATTCCCACTTAACATTTCTACATGAGTGAAATATGTCAAGATTTGTGGCTTTCACATATTTATAGTTTTGCTATTTATTAATGATATTTTAAAATATTTATTTGAACAGTAATATAATTCTTCTTATATAATGATTACATTTCCATATAATTTTAATGTGTTTTCCAAACTAAATTTCCAGCTGTTTGTGGTCAGGAGTATTACTTATTATTCTTCACAACCACAAGTAACTTTGGATGATGCTATGGCTAATAAAGTCTTTGAAATGTGTTAACTTCACTTGGTTTATAAATGCTAAAGTAAATATAGGTAGAATATTTTAAAATTATAAGCACAAGCGTTAATGTTTGGTTCATAACTAAGAATGATATGACACAGTTTTTCAGTACTTTTTAATATAATTGAGCTATAAGAAATATTTAATAATAAATAATTATGCATTTCATTAAAGAAGACAAAAGTAGAAAAAATGGAAATGTGTAAATGATGCCGAGGTGTATTTGAAAATGTTGATGAAATTATAAAAGCATTTCTTTATGTCTTTTTAAAACTCTACAGGAAATTTCTGTTTTATTACAGCAGCTAATTTTCAAATGTTCCATGCTTTCATACCAAATCCAGCCAATTGTTGGTGATAGCTTATTTCCTTCCCCTTTGCCTGCTGCAATGATTCAGACCTTTTCTGTTCAGTTTTAGTTTTATTACTATTTTCCTCCACTCCCCTATTCTTCACCACCAATATGTTACATCATTGTTCAAAAGAATAGTCAAAACTGAGTTTAACTAATCTAAAGCAAATTTAGGCTGGAAGTAAGAGATAGCCACAATTTAGAAGCACTCCCTGGCTTTAGAAATACAGACCTCCTTTGTAAATCCTCACAGCTATGGGTTGTGTAGTCTATCACCACCTATAGTATGCTAAAGTCAGAATGTAATTACATGCATTTTATAAAATGAGAACTGCTGACGTACAACCCACTAGTTATTTCCTAGTAAAAACATATTAGTAGAATATATTTATATCCATAACCATAATACATACTGTTATGCATCTAGTAATTAATTTTTTAATGACTCTCTAAATATTTATGTTCTTTTTTTCTTATAATGCAATCTTCAGTGTTCTCAAGAGCTATCCTAATTTAAGCAGATATTTAAATAGAATCTTTCATTATTCTTGCTTTTCAGTTGTCTTGGGAACAATGCAATAACATTAGTAGGATATTTCCTTGTAGAAATGAAAAATGAAAATACGTTTTCTTCTAGAAATAAAAAAAGTATTTATAGATTATATCTGGAGGACAACATAAACTGGCTAATTGATTATAGATAATAAATGGACATACTAAGTGATAGAAAAATAGATGATAGATATTTCTATGCAGATGAATTTTATTATTGTAAACTTACTGGGTTTCTATACAGTTTGTTTTAATTGCTGAAACATGTCTTCAGGTGGAATTTATCAAATATTACATACATTGCAATAGTGACAGCATTTTAAAAGAAGTCTCTAGATCCTATGGAAATGAAGTGTCTGTTCCAATAGAGCTCCTAATGTAAAGTTTTGCTTAGTAATGATCTGAATGACTTTTCAAAGTTTCCCTGTCTGAATCAGTGTTAATGATTTTTCAGTTATCCTCTCAGAAAATCAACTTGTTATGCCTTAATATAATATCAAAAATTAAATTGTAGTTCTTTTGAGAAAATAAGGAGGTAGAAAATGTAACAGTTTTATTGCTTCTGAATGATACGGCTCCAGATTTTTACCTTCACAGAGTTATATTTTTTGATTGAGAATATGATTCCAGTATCTGATAATTTGGGTCTAATCTAGTAGCTTTATACTTGGATTTCCCCAGAACTGTGGTCTGTAAATTCTGAAGATACTGAAGCATCTTGAAATACGCCCATTGCTCAATACACAGAATAATTTTTAAAACTTTATAATTTGTAAATTGCTATACATTTATAATTGCTATAAATTTATAAATTATATAATTTAAAATTTATAATTTATATAATTTATAATAAATCACAGAAATATATTTTAATATATTTATATATTATATGTAATATTTATATTATATAAAATATAACATATTTATAATATATTTATATATTATGTTTTAAATTATATATAAATATATCAAATGTGAGTTAATATAATATGACTTATAAATTATACAAATATAAATTATATACCAATATCATTTATATATAATTTATATTAAATTACATAATTTTAATTATATAAATTATATTTATATAATTTGTAATCTATAATTTATAAATTTATAAGCTTAAAATTTATAAACTTAACATTTTCAAAATGTACGTATTTCCCAGGGCTTGATCATGAGTTTTCTTTTTCTTTCTGTCAACTGTATCTCTCTAAGTGACCTATCCAGTCCCATAACTTGTACTATCATCTCTAGTGAACACTCTCCAGGCTTTATGTCTCTTCTTAGCGTCACATTT